>NC_000010.11:10616060-10767575 GCF_000001405.40 Homo sapiens
AACAGAAACATAAGATAAGGTGATTGGCATATAAGGTGACTGATGTATTGGCTGGTTGATGTGTGACCAGAGGCTGACAGGAACCTAAGCCTGTATTTCTCCTAGGAGCAGTGGTTCAATGTTCCCTAGTTCAGTGTTTGTAGTGACTTTTACAGATTACAGCTACCACAAATAACAATGATTGACTATATTTTGGAAAATGAAAGCACTAGTACTCTCAAAGGTTTTGTTTGGGGTGTGTGTGTGTGTGTGTGTGTGTGTGTGTGTGTGTGATTATCTAAAATTTTAGAAAGCAAATTCAGAACCTATTGGTTGGAGGAAGTGGCCTCCTGTTATGGAAAGAATTCTCTCAATTTCCCTGGGCATTGCTTTGTATAGAGAATCAAGGGGTTATATGAAGGTTGTGTCCAGGTTTCAGGTTCTGTATAAAATGCCTAACAAATAATCGTTGGATGTATAAATGGGATTCTATAGAAATCGTAACATAAATACTGCTGTGTGGGTCTTGGCATTATGCACTCAAGACACTTTTTATTTAGGCCAGAGAGAGGCTGTTACCTACTCACTGCCTCAAGAGAATGAGGGCAAAACAGTGCTTCCTCCTCACCCAAATTCGTGTGTGTGTGTGTGCGTGTGTGTGTGTGTGTGTGTGTGTGTGTGAGAGAGAGAGAGAGAGAGAGAGAGGATCTTATTCTGTCACTCAGGCTGGAGTTCAGTGGCATAATAATCATAGCTCACTGCAGGCTCGAACTCCTGGGCTCAAGCGATCCTTCCACCTCAGCCTCCCATGTAGCTGGGACCACAGGCATGCACCATTACGCATGTAGCTGGGACCACAGGCATGCACCATTACGCCCAGCTAATTTATTTATTTTTTGTAGAGACATAGTCTCGCTATGTTGCCTAGGCTGGTCTCAAACTCCCAGGCTCAAGCAATTCTCCCACCTCAGCCTCCCAAAGTGCTGGGATTACAGGCATGAGCCACTGAACCCAATCCCCAAATTCTCTTTCTAAATTGAAAAAATTCCTGGATCAGCTAATAACAATTTTACATACAGCAAATAGTTTCTCAGATCCCTGCTAGATACATCTCAAGGAATGAGAGTTGTAACAGAATGGAATGACAACTTTGGGAATATGAGTTTGCAAAATAGGGTCAAGGGAAAGTCAGGCTTGTGTGGAATGCCAAAATAATAGTTAACATGTATTGATCCCTCACCATGGGCTAGACACCCTTCTTGGGGTGAGTCATATAATATTCACAATACCACATTGTGAACCCCATTTTAAAGTGAAGCCAGCTGGGCACAAGAGGTTAGGTAACTTGAAAGGCTACATGGTTATTAAATGCTAACCTAAGGTTCACAGCTCAGGTTCAGCAAAGGAATGACAGTATCAAATTTAGACTTTGAAAGGATCCTTCAAGCTGGATTCTAGATACTGGATTGGAAAGAGGCAGGCTTAGAGAGGGTGCCTAGCACATTGTGAGGGATCAATACATCATCACTCCCCTGCTTAACCTGGGCTCTTAACCCAGACCATCTGGCTGCAGATTCCTGGCTTGAACCCTTGGATACAGCAGCCCCCTGACTTTCCTCCTGGGGAGAATGAACAAGGCAGAGACTCTAAAGGGCCTTAGGCTTTGTAAAGGGGGGGGAAATAGGTCCAAAAGGGAGAGAAGAAAGTACAGGAAAGGGAAGCCAGAGACAACCAAAGCACAAAGCTTTACTGGAAGTAAGTAACCATGCACCAGAGTATGGAGGGATTGCCAGAAAGGATGCACATCTAATTTACATTAACATTCCAATTCAATAACACCCTATTTATTTTCCTAATTGGTACAACATTTTTATGCTGGAACCAGAAAGCACAAGGCTCTAAAAATCCCCCGGCCGTAACTCTTGACTTCTTCCCTTCCCTCATTCCTTCCCTAAATCAAAGCAATCTTGAACTCTTATCAGCTTAATACTTCTTGACTCTGAGCAGCTCTCTCCACCCCCAGGGCTGTGACCTTCACTTAGCTACCCTCCATCATCTCTTGCCTGGATTGCCGACACAGACAGCTCTTGGTTTCTAAGCCTGCCTCTTTCCAATCCAGTATCTGGAACCAAGCCTGAAGGATCTTTTCAAAGTCTGAATTTGAGACCGTCACTCCCCTGCTTAAAATCAATTTTTGGCTCCCTGACCTCTTAGGAATGAGCCCATTTCAAGGTGCACAGGGACCAGGCTGCTTCTTCCCATCCAGCCTCTTCCCTACTCTCCCTCTTCATCTTAATCCTCCATGCCTCTCCTTGAAAGAGCCCTGATCATTTATACCTCAGGGCCTTTGCACTTGCCAGATCCTCAGACTTCTGGCTTCAGTATGAAATTTTTCTGATGAAATCTCACTTTTCTTTAGAGCATCAAAGTCATGTCATCCAGGAGGCCAACTCCAGCCCATATAATTGAGTTCAATGATCATACTGCAACTCAAAGCACCCCGACCATTCCTCATGGCAACGCTTATGGTGGGGCACTGAAATGGCCTCTCATTCGTCTCTTGTTCTCATGAGACTGTAAGTTCCCTGAGGACAGGAACTGCGCCTTGTCTGTCATAGGATGACCAAGTCCTACTGAAGCAGCATCGTTGTCTGGAGTAACTACCTGAAGGTCGTTGCCTCACGCCAAGGAAATCAAAGACACAGACACACGCAAGGAGTGAGTTTAAAAGTAGAGGTTTGATAGGCAAGAGAAAGAGAAAAGCTCTCTCTCTTGCAGAGAGAGAGGGGGTTCCAAATAAGTCTTCTGGTTCCATGGTGAAATACAGGGGGTTCTATAGCTGAGCTTGAGGAGATAGCATCTGATTTACACAGGGCATGAGAGATTAGTTGAACCAGGTGTGCTGTTTGCATAGCATGTGAAGAAGCTGGCCATTTCACCCTAAACTTTTATTATGCAGTTAGGGTCTCTACCTGGCTGGCGCCATGTTGCCTGCCTTTTTACTGCACACGTGGCAACAAAGAAGGAGGAAGGGGGAACTTCCATGTTGAACATGCCTGGCCGCCAGATAGCCTTTTCCTATTGGCACAGCTGCTAGCATTTACCTATGCAAGCTTCAAGCTTGCTTATTTATGTCTGCAGCTTGATTTTTCAAGCTGTTCTTTGTTAGAAAAAGAAATGATTTGTGGGCTGCTTTTTATTAAAAGGGAAATCTTATCAAGGACTCTCTTACCCTCACTAACTGCCTAGATAATTTCTTTTTAGCTCCTGTGTCATTACTACAGGCATGTAGTAGGTAGTAGTAGGTATTTGTTAAAGTGCTCTCCCAATTAGAGGCTATGGAAAAACCATCTGGACCTTGAGTCTTAGTTTAAATGTGTAGAAATAGAACATAGAAATCTTTACAGAACAGCTCGTACATTCATAGTCATTGGGCTGACTTTAGTCCACAGGTTTGTTGTGTTGGCGAACACACCATTGTTTCCAAAGATGGACGTGGAGGTCTTTGGGTAGAGCGCTCCTCTTCAACCCCCCTCAGGCTTCCATGTTCCCTATGGTCTTACCCACCTGGCCCTTGCCTGCCCTGGAAGGCGTAGCATTTATGACCACTGAGTTACAGGGCTGTGCGCTGATGGGAATTCAGTGAGGCAGAAAACGTCGTATTATCAACACAGTTGGTGCCAGAATCTTGAAGATAGGAGAAGTTTGTTTGGAAAAACATTTTCCTAAGGGTTTGGGGGTAGAAATTGAGACCCCATGGGCTTACATACCATTTGGTGCCAACATTCTGGAGAAAAAGAATTGCTTTACCTAGGAAGAAGGGGGTTTTGGCTTGTCGGTAATGACAGGGATGGGATACAGGGTTGAAGAGACGAACGGAAGGAGAGAGAAAGAAACCCACTTGCCCTAAGAGGTAAAATGGCTTCTACGGCTGAACCTTACATGAAAGCACCCTTTAGCCAAGTATCACGAAAAATAAGGTATATTGCATAAGCTTCTCTAGGAGATGAAAGGAAATGAATTCCATATTAGAAAAAAAATGTTTCTAATACTTCCTATCAGATAGTGTTCTCTAAGGCAAGGTTGCCAATCTTGGACCCACAGGCCGAATTTGGCCCACTACCTGTTTTTGTAAATAAAGTTGTATTGGAATATAGCCATACTTATTTGTTTACATACAATCTAAGGCTGCTTTCACAACAGCAGAGTTCAGCCAGGTGTGGTGGCTCATGCCTGGAATCCCAGCTACACAGGAGGCTGAGGTAGAGGGATGGCCACCTCAATTAAAAAGAACACGTGAGGCTGAGGCAGGAGAATCGCTTGAACCCAGGAGGCGGAGGTTGCAGTGAGCCTAGCTGGCATCACTGCATCACTGCACTCCAGCTTGGGCGACAGAGCAAGGCTCAGTCTCAAAAAAAAAAAAAAAAAAAAGCAGAGATTAGTACGTTTACCAGAAACCATATGGCCCACGAAGTGTAAAATAGTTCCTATCTGGCCCTATGCAGAAAAATGTTGCTGACCCCTGACCTAGGGAAATGGCCGGTAGACAATCCCCTTCCCTTGTTAGAATGGCTCAGTAGAGGCAGGGCGTGGTGGCTCAGGCCTGTTATCCCAGCACTTTGGGAGGCCGAGGCAGGCGGATCACGAGGTCAGGAGATTGAGACTATCCTGGCTAACACGGTGAAACCCCCTCTCTACTAAAAATGCAAAAACAAAATTAGCCGGGAGTGGTGGCAGGCGCCTGTAGGTAGTCCCAGCGTCCCAGCTACTTGGGAGGCTGAGGCAGGAGAATGGCGTGAACCCGGGAGGCGGAGCTTGCAGTGAGACGAGATCGAGCCACTGCACTCCAGCCTGGGTGACAGAGCGAGACCCCATCTCAAAAAAAAAAAAAAAAAAAAAAAAGGCGGAGCGCGGTGGCTCACACCTGTAATCCCAGCACTTTGGGAGGCCGAGGCGGGCAGATCAAGAGGTCAGGAGATGGAAACTACCCTGGCTAACACGGTGAAACCCCGTCTCCACTAAAAATAAAAAAATAAAAAATAATAATAATAATAATTAGCCAGGCATGGTGGCGGGCGCCTGTAGTCCCAGCTACTCGGGAGGCTGAGGCAGGAGAATGGCGTGAACCCAGGAGGTGGAGCTTGCAGTGAGCAGAGATGGCGCCATTGCATTCCAGCCTGGCTGACAGAGTGGGACTCTGACTCAAAAAAAAAAAAAAAAAAAAAAGGCTACAGTAGAATGATTCAGATCCAAAAAACCTAATATGCAATTTAATGTGCAGTGTAAACATCAGAGCCTCCTTAATTCTTTGGGAAGAGCTAGTTTGTTCATGAAGCTTTTTTTTGAGAACATTCCCTATGGCACATTTGAAGAACAGTTGAGTTTTACATCCAGAACAAAGAAGCGTAGCATAGGTCTCCACCCACAGAAAGAGAGTTGAGACAATCATGAGAGCCTCAGCAGGCACAGAAATCCCTGAGAGGAACTGATGAGGCTCTACACTTTGCTGAATCCAAATTTACCCCCTTTCTGAAGGGTACCCACATAAGTCACCTACCATGGTGCCTAGCACATAAGACATTCAGGAAACAGGAATTATTGTTATTATCCATTTCACTCTTCCTCTTAGAGTTGGGAAAACGAAGGAGCAGAGACAAGAAGCAACTCTGCCAATAATCTGAAGAAACAAGGAGATCTAGAACAAATATATTTATTAAGAGATAGCAAACTCACATCAAAAAACAGAGGCTAGAAGATACTTGCCATAAGAGGTAAAATGGCATCTATGGCTGAACCTTAAATGTAAGCACCCTTCCACCAGATATCATGAAAAATAAGGTATATTGCATAAGTTTCTCTAGGAGATGAAAGCAAATGCGTTCCATATTAGAAAAAAATATTTCCTTCAGCCCTAAATTCTAAAAGGAGTTTCTCACATAGAGCCTTGAGAATATTTGGATTGGCAAGATGAAAAACGAAGTAATTCACAGCCCAATAACACTTTGTCAAACCTGTGTGGGTTTTCAAAAGTAGCCACACCTAAGCCTTGTCCTCTCGTCCTGACAGTCACTGGGGATGAGCCCCTGGGACCCTGTAAAAAGATTGCTGGTGATTCTGAGGCGCTGCCAGGGTAAAAGCACCACAAGGCCTGTGCATTCAAGGTTTGAGGTAATTTTAGAAGCAGATCTCAAATGAGTGTTTTGGTTTTGAGATGGACCATTAATGTAACTCAGCAGAGGATTCATCACCTGCAAGGGTAGAGTGATTCTTATAAGATGCCAAGGTTAGGCCAGGTATGGTGGCTCACGCCTGTAATCTCAGAACTTTCGGAGGCCAAGATGGGTGGATCACTTGAGCCCAGGAGTTCAAGACCAGCCTGGGTAACATAGTGAGACCCCATCACTACATACATACATACATACGTATGTGTGTGTGTGTGTATATATATATATGTAATAAAATAAAATAGGTCAGGAGCTGTGGTGTGCACCCACAGTCCCAGCTACTCAGGAGACTGAGGTGGCAGGATTGCTTGAGCCCAGGAGGTAGAGGCTACTGTGAGCCATGATTATACCATTGCACTCCAGCCTGGGTGACAGAATGAGACCCTGTGTCCAAAAAATAAAACAAAATAAAGCCGAGGTTATTGTCATCGACTGGGGAAAGAACTGAGATAAATATTAGTAATGAGGTGAAGGAGAGGAGTGCAGACAGGATGTGTGATTGTGGACCTGGCTTTGGAAGCAGGTGATAAACAATACAATTGCAGGGAAGCCGGGCGCGGTGGCTTATGCCTGTAATCCCAGCACTTTGGGAGGCCGAGGTGGGTGGATCACGAGGTCAGGAGATCAAGACCACTGTGAAACCCCATCTCTACTAAAAATACAAAAAAACGTAGCCGGGCGTGGTGGCGGGCGCCTGTAGTCCCAGCAGCTACTCAGGAGGCTGAGGCAGGAGAATGGCCTGAACCCGGGAGGCGGAGCTTGCAGTGAGCCGAGATTGCGCCACAGCACTCCAACCTGGGCGACAGAGAGAGACTCCGTCTCAAAAAAAAAAAAAAAAAAAAAAAAAAAAAAAAAAAAATTGGATAAAATGCTGTCAGTCACACAGGACAGGCAGCCTGTGGAATCTATGCCCATGAATGGCAGTACAGCTGCCTCTATTTGCTAGAATTTGAAACCTGTCTGCAGAGAGTTCCCAAAGGAGGCTCTTCTTATTCCTCAGAGAGCAGCGAATGTGGGTAATCTGTGTAATAAACATGCGTCCAAAAAGTGCTCCATAGTTTACTAAAAGTAAAAGGGCAGTTGGCAAGTTGATTGCAGAATTATCATTTAATTTACTCCGAATTACCTCTCTTCATACTATATTCTGATTCTGCAAAAATGCTAATCTTAACAGTGGGAATTATGTCATGCTGGCAGTATTTGAATGGCATGAAGTCTCTTTCCCTTAGGCAGAGTGGACTGTCACTCTATTTTCCCTGGTTACAGCAGTCCCCAAAGCCACTGCAGCAGGAGCTGCCATGGGGAAACATGGTACCTGCTTTAGTAGCTTCCAGTACTTAGGGGAAAGGATCCAGGAAGAATGTCTGAGCCTAGGCATTAAGAAGCAGATGGACCCACGATGATCCAGAGACAGTGGAGGGGGAAGACATACTGAAATAATGACCATGATGAGGATGTTAAAAAGAGCTTACGTTCACTGAGCATTGATAAGGTGCCATTTACTGTTCTAAGTGCTTTATATAATCTTATTTAATCCTTACCGCAAATCTTCGAAATAGGGTTTATTATACCCAACTTACAGGTCAAGAAGTCGAGATGCAGAAGTGAACTGCCCAGTGCCAGCCAATGAGTTGAACTGGTGAGCCTGGCCCGGAACCCAGGTAGTCTGACTGCAGAGATGATGTGCTCAGCCCTACACCCAAGAAGGGAGGGCCCATCTGATAAGACTATGATAAAACTGGACTCTGCAAGTCTTTGTGGATTGACTCTTCTGCTCTTGTCTCTGCGTTTCCAATTTTGAAAAATTTATCTCTGTGGCTTGGAATGAGAAAGAACAGGATGTACCAGGCAGTGTGCACTAGGAACAATATTCCCAAGGGTGACAAACAGATCCCTGTCTCCGTGGCCTCCGCTTCATTCTTATCATCCCCTCTGCTTTAGTGACAGTTGACATGGATCATAGCTGAGCTTATGTACAAATTTCTACAATCCATGCCAGAAATCTGGTCTGTATCAGTTTTTACAGTCCTCAACTAGAAATGCCTTTCAGTATCTTTAGCCTTTTGTCTTTGTTCCAGAACACGTGAGCCATACTAACAAGTCACAGTCATGCTTCGATGGCATTACCTGAGTCACTTAAAAAACAACAACAAACATTGGTCTGCATCTACACAAGTCAAAATGATTCAGGCTTTCAGTACAAGCAGTTAGTAAATCTAGCTCCCTTCATCTATTCACAGTTCACATCACATTTGGCCAATTCGGCTCATTGATGCATCATGGGTTGTAAAAATGGCCCAAATGAGTGCTGCATCATTACAGGCATGAGCCACCACGCCCAGCATCATGTTTTCCGCACAGAAACCTAGTCCTGATGCGATTATATATGTTGATTGCAGAAAACCCTGGGAGATACAGTCTCAGATCCCAACAGATCTAAACATCTATAAATAGCACACTCTATTCACATGTTTCCCTGAGATTTGACAAATTAAGACAGTCGTCCCAGGTTCCAAGATTTCTGAGAGAAATTCTGCACTGCTGAAATAACTCATGGATAATCATCTCTCTCCAGGGAATGAGGGGACAAGAAACAGATTCACAGGGACACAAAGAGGCAGATGGCAGGAGGAAAGGTCCTCGTGCTGCTACTTTTGTTGTTAACAATAAAATAAGATGTCACACGAAGCTGCGCGGCTCACACCTTTTATCACCGCTGTCACTGCCAAGCCTAAGTGGGCGAGAATATTTCTTCATGTTTACCAACAAAATTAAATGCAAAATAAAATGAAAAACTCAGTCTTCACACTGCCCTTTTGTGACTTCTTTTTCCCTTAAAGTTCTCCCTGACTCGTTCTCAGTTTAATTAGATAGGAACTGTGTAAAAACATAGGGAAGGTGGGAAATTTTCCCTAACCATGTAGGTATGGTATTGATAGAAAAGACAAATTAAAGATAACCCCCATTTGGCTTTTAATCCACTTGCTATATTATCTAAGGGCAATTCTAACTATGGAAATACAGCAATAATAACCACAAGAACGGCAACAGCAACAGTCACTGACCTTGTACTACGGGCAGCTGCCATTACATATTAATGCATTTGATGCTCACGGCAACCTTTTATAACGTACTTTAGTGGGTACTAATATTAATCCCATTTTGCACGGAAGGCAACACTGCGTATCTCTGAAGCACAGTAATAATGCCTTCTATTTTCGTGGAACAAAAGCCTCATGCCCTGCTGGATCAGCTGGGAATGCAGAGAAGTTTCAAAACTTCAAATCTCGAAGCCCTGAACAGCAAGGTTTTCCCCATAATGAAATAGCCTCAGGGCCAAAGTGAAAACTTCTTACTTGATCATTTACAACTCAGGCTGAGTTTAGAAAGGACCCTTGTAGGGCCAGCTTCCTTCAACTTCTCTTTCTTCACTGCATCCTTCCCCTTCAATCCAGCTCTCCATTCACGCTTCTTATCCATCCCTCATTGAAGAGGGGCAAAGGGCACAAGGGCCCCGTCCCGTGATCTGAAGCCCCAGAGGAACAGGGTCGATCTGAGTGTTTGGGCCTCTATGCACCAGCACGATTGCTTCATTATCTTCAGTATGTTTCTTTGAATGCTGTGGTCATTGTATCTATTTCATGTGATTCTTTTTTTTTTTTTCTTCTAAAAATACCAAGTTGTCTGCGAAAGTCAAACCTGGTGCAGTGCAGTGGAGTATAACAACCCTACAGCCGGTTTCACCTGCCACTTGCGGACTTGCAATGTGAAGAATTCTGCTTTGACCTAGAAAGAGAAATATGTTTTGGGATTTGCTCCCAACTTGAACCAAAATAAAAAGCTAATGTGGCTTTTTTTCACC
This sequence comes from Homo sapiens, assembly GCF_000001405.40. NCBI lineage: Eukaryota > Metazoa > Chordata > Mammalia > Primates > Hominidae > Homo > Homo sapiens. The sequence goes on from NC_000010.11 coordinate 10,626,126, forward strand.
TTGAACTTAATTTCATTAAGTTGATATTCTTGAGTGCCTACATCCAAGGGTGAAGTACATTCGTTGCTTTACTGATTTTTAGTACATGGCAGGTTGGGAGCTGCAGAATCACACATTTTCCAAACAGCTGGGGATCTACACCAGGGTCCTCATTCCTTCGAAAGGAAAGGGTTATTTTCATGTCAAGATCTCCCCATGTATTCATGTTAGAATGAATTTGTGTTAGTGCTAGGTATGGAGTAAATGAGATAAGATTGATCTAGGGTAGTAAATCTGCCTGTACTAAACGAGTTTCATATGCAGTTAACAGCATGTAAATTTCCTAAACGTGATTAACAGTTTCATGCATGTGAAACCTATCAGCTACTGATAAAGCTTTCATAGGGAAAGAAAAAAAAAAGATTACAAATAAGCAGGCTTGAATTCTCCCTCTAGGCTCTAGTCTTTTTGCTATAGATTTTTATTCTAATTTTTCCCCTCATTTTAGAGCTTGATATTTAATACTTTTAAGCGTTCCTATATTATTGAGTTGAAACAGAATTATTCTTCAGCTGGCTGGCCCTGATCACAGGCAGCAGTTTATTGTCTATTTGGTGTACTTCATTGACACCTTATTCAACGTGCTTGCTTCTGTGTATTAATTTTGGAGTCGTCAAATCCTGAAAATGAATCCTTAATCACGTGTTTACAATAGAATTTTAAGATGCTGATTATTTTTCTCTGCTAGCACCTTAGCAACACTGACAACATTTCAAGTGTTACAGGGCTCAGAGGATTTTTGTTTCCAGCATTCCTTAAATCCTAGCGCAAGGCGGGCCATGAGGCTTTGTGAAATAAGGACACATTGTCGGAGAATGTCTCCAATTCCAAACTCTAGGTCTCTGGCACTTAAGAAGCCACTGCTAAGTGGCTGCTGTAACGAAAGAAGAAATTTGTCAGAGAAATCAAAGTTCCTGGGCCACGTGATTAAAAATGTGTAGTGAGGCTCTCGCATTGTGTAGCCCTCCAAAATACCCTCATTGTATTTATTCCTAAAAGGAGGTGAACAAACGTCAGAGAGGTTCACAGGAGTTTATATCTCAGACCCTCAAACTTCCCAAGAAGACCTCTGAATAAACAGATATACCTTCAAGAGGGAAGGGGTAAAGTGTAGAATTTTTGGCTCTCTAGGAATGATTAGAATTAAGGTGGCTATGTTTCAATGTTAATGACATTTTTAGCTGCTTGTCGGCTAATATTAAACATGCAAATGGTCTCAGAACTGCTTCCTGGAGTCCTTCTGTACCGGATCAGTTTACATCTGAGATCAGGGCAAGGAGAAAGACTTCAGGAGTTCACCTCTCTAGAATGCAGAGGGCTGACGCAAAGCCCTAAAAATTAGAAGTCCCATTTCTTTCCAGCACCTTACAGACACTGAAGCTCTTTCACAGATGTTTGCTCATTTGAGCTTCACCACTGGCCACCAGGCAGTTGATGATCTTAGGGGATGGTGGCTCTTGGGTAGAATGCCAAAGGGAACTGCACAACATGAGGAGGGAAAGAACCTATGGGGTCAACTTAAGACACCACCTTGAACCCAGCAGCCCCTCCTGGCTCTTTTGAGCACATTGAACACTGAAGCTTCTACACTTTTCATTAAACTTTCTACATAGCCTCTTAAAAATGAAACTGTTTTTCACTTTCTACCAGAAGATAAGCTCCATGGGAGGAGAAACATGCACATTTGGTTTGTGTTTAACATATTATTTGGAACCATGCAGATGCCTAATTCTTTATAATTATTTTATTTTATTTTGAGATAGAGTCTCGCTCTGTCACCCAGGCTGGAGTGCAGTGGCACGATCTCAGCTCACTGCAGCCTCTGCCTCCTGGGTTCAAGCAATTCTCCTGCCTCAGCCTCCCAAGTAGCTGGGATTACAGGTGCCCGCCACCACGCCTAGCTCATTTTTGTATTTTTAGTAGAGACAGGGTTTTGCCGTGTTGGCCAAGCTGGTCTCAAACTCCTGGCCTCAGGTAATCCCCCCTGCCTTGGGCTCCCAAAGTGCTGAGATTACAGCCATGAGCCACCATGCCCAGCCCAGATGCTTAATTCTTATCTAACCTTAAAAACAGTAAACCCTGAAAGGCAAAGTCAAAAAAATGTTATCAGTATCCTCATGTCTCTAGAACCAAATATTTTATTATCATACAAACTAAGCTTCTCCTATTCCAGAAAAAGGAGACAGAAGGAAGGGAGAGAAAGAACTCATTTATGGAACACCTACCATATGCCAACCATGCTACTAGATCCTTCCTGTGTATGTGTTTCCCCAATTCTCCCCCAAAATGTATGAAGTGGGGAGCAGGATCTCCACTTGGGGGATGAGTGAATCAATTCCATGAAACATTAAGGAGCTTATCTGCTGTCACGGGGTCAAAAGTGGCTGCAAGTATACTTATGTGTCTGACTATAAGACTTTCCTGCTTCATCCATGTCCCTACAAAGGAAGTGACCTCATCCATTTTTATGGCTGCATAGTATTCCATGGTGTATATGTGCCACATTTTCTTAATCCAGTCTATCATTGATGGACATTTGGGTTGGTTCCAAGTCTTTGCTATTGTGAATAGTGCCGCAATAAATGCAGCACACCAACATGGCACATGTATACATATGTAACAAACCTGCACATTGTGCACATGTACCCTAGAACTTAAAGTATAATTTAAAAATTTAAAAAAATAAAAATAAATTAAAAAAAGACTTTCCTGTTTATCAGGCCGCCTTCCCATCAATTTGTGGCTAGAAAGAAAAGGATCCTGACTATAAATAAGGGGTACTTTCTAATTTTAACAACTCAAAGCTTCTGAAGAGCAGAAAAGGACCCACATTGTTAATCCAATTGCATTAATAGACTGTGATAGAAAGACAGGGTATTCCACTCTCCCTAGAGAGTTCATTCATGTAGAATCTCCTTGTTCCTGAACCAGGAGATTCCCAAACTTCTGTGCCCTAACTTTGGGCCTCTGCCCTGAATACTCCTTGGTGCTGTACTTCTAGGAGGTACAGATTTTTCCATAATAAAACATCAGGTAAAACTTCATCCTGAGTATAAAGTGAGGAATTGCCCCAAACTTCTGCACTGTAACTTTGGGCCTCCGCCCTGAACACTCCTTGCTGTACTTGTGTGTCCTCTTTCCCAGGTTCATTTTCCTATCCCCTGAAAATAGCTTCAAGTTAAGATTTTTTTCCCATAGTTTGGAAGAAAATTGTGCTCACAAAATGCACCCCTATTCTTGAAGCCCAGCTTACTGGATGAGTGGTTGTATTTGCTTTGTCGTGTTGGGGTCTTATATTCTATAGAAAATTTGCAAACTATTTTTAACCTCTTTTTAAAATTTTCACTTGCTTAAATTTTTTTAAGCCTCCCTTTATATCATCTTAGATAAAGTCTATCATGCTTTCTTCAACATAAACTGCAAAATCATTATTACTTGAGCTACATTCTTTTTGGGTTACATAAACTGAGATACTTCAGGAATAACAATCTCTCTGACAAAAGACCCAGTGTGCTTAAAGATAGCAGAACTCTTCCAGTGAACTGTTTTCCGGTGAGGATGTTGGAGTGCCCAGTGTACTCCATTTCAAAATACTAATGGAGGCATTTGTTTTAGGAATCTGGACACATTGCACGTGATGTCATGTTATGTAGTAGTTTTTGCCTAGGCAAACCATTGCAAAGCACGGCTGAAGACCAAAAAAAAAAAAAAAGAAAAAAAAAAAAAAGCTTGCTTTTGTGAAGCTATTAAACAATAGCCTATTAGATGTCTTGCTCCTAAAGGAGTTTTACCTGATGTTTTATTATGGAAAAATTTGTACCTCCTATTATTCTGCGTTCTCCCACTTCAGAAGTTAGATAATAAAAGAATAATGGAGTAATATCTTGCCAAGCAAGACACTCCATCTGCTTTTGTTTGTTATTTTTTTCTCAACCCATCGCCCACTTTCCCCGAATGCTTCCTCTAATGCAATAATTTTCCTTTAACACAGACCTATGATTTTAATCAGCCCATCTGTGTGGCTTTGTCTGGGGGAAGGGATTAAGGAATTAATGTTTGTTCAGTTCACATTTTGAATGGAAGGGCATCTGCAAGCACCAGAGCTACTTTCTGAAATTCAGAGTTGGCAACTGTGAAGACCGTCCAACAGTCCACAATCTTTACTGACTTTTTCTTTTCTTCATTGGGGGTTGTGCTAAGTCTTAGGCAAGGAATGCTGTGTCGTCTGAGCAGAGAGATAATCCTTACACCCACCATCTGGATCAGAGACCACTGGGATCTCTATCTAATCTCTATCTCTACTCCCCTCACTGCAGAAAGAGGCTGAAATCATGAAGCACCTTTCCTCATTAGATTAATAGGACTCTAGTGACTACAGTTGAAACCAGACCCACTGGGTAGAGATTGTCACTAGATGCTGTAAAACGTTTTGTAGCCACTAAACCAACACCTCATAAAATGAGTGCATTTTGGACAAGCATAAACATAGATACTATTAAGAGCCCCAGAAGATCTTAGAGATTGGAAGAGAAATTAATGGCAGTGGGATGGATGGAATAAGAGGAGGAATTAACCAATATCTGCATGGCATTTATAGGGTCTGCAATGCCTTGGAATTACTGAATTATGAGAAGTGGAAAATATAGCTGCAAATAAAGAAAACTGCATAGGTGAAACATTACAGCTAAGAATTCAAAGAGATGGCTCCCAATCTCCCCTTGACTCTCATTCCCCATGCACATTAAGGAGCTGCGGAGTGCACAATGTACATTTTTATGCCTCATTAGATAAAATGTGATGTCATAGAGTGACAGTTGCCAGGGGAGCTCTAATTTGGAATTGCCAATGTTATACACCTTAAGATTCTCAACTATAGTGCGACGTTAAAACTCTTCTCACTGAATTTCTTTAATAAAAAACACAGCTGTGAACATTCATTCAAACGTACTGATCATGTTTTATTCCTATGAGTAATCACTTCCAGACTCAGCCTGACATTTGGAACTCTGTTTCTAAATGGAAGACTTTAGAATTAACAGAGACACCTTTCCTCATTAGAAACAAAGCCAAACTCACGGTGAGTCTGAACAAACTAAACCAGGGCTAAAGAAAACGCTAGTTCAAAACCATGCACATGTATTTGGAAATTGTCATTTGGACCTGAAACTCTTCTGTGCAGGCATGGAGGTGACCTGAAGGGCTTGGAACTAACCTTCCGTCTCCAACCCAGAAACCACACTTCAAAGCTTTCTCTAGAGGTCATGACAGTTTGAAAAATATTAGCTTGAGAAAATTCCAGAAGTTCTCAAGGAGCAGGGATAAAGAACGTTTCATCCCACCACCACCCATTCTGTTGAGAAATGACTTAAAACTTGACAGTAACACTACTTCCGGTGCTTAAGAAATAGGAAACATAAAACCTTACTGTATGTGAGGGAAAGATGGGGAAGCTGTTAATTCCTAAAATGTGAACGAGCAGTGATTTTAGTGGACCATCCACTGGACGTTTTCTTCTTTGGAAGAGCGTCTGCATTTGACTTTGAGCTCCTTGTCTGAGTTCTTAGCAGGAAAAATTTCCCTAGCATACATGAGATTCTACTCACAATGGAAAAATAAGGTTCTAAAAAATGTAAGATAAGAAAATGGGAAAAGTATTGAGCAGAGATACCAGTTAATGACCAAACCTCTGGTGCAGGGAGGGCAATTTACAAGAGGTAGGCTGGGAACTTGGTTCACCTCTAATCAGCTGCAAGGCTACATTTTTTGGAGTTGCAGTTCCTTCAAGCGTAAAGTGATATGAATAATACATACTAATTAGTGTTGTGAAAAATAAACGAGAGGCCTGTGAAAGGCTTAGCCCAATGTCCAGCACACAGCAGGTGTCCCTATTTGCTCTCTTTGCTCCCTCAAAGTGACCCATCCTCATCCCAAGCCTCCTCTTCCACTTTGTTTTCAAATGCCAAAATGCTTTAGGCTATAGTCTCATCACTAAAACTAGAGAAGCTGTGATTTCTGAATTCATTTCTAGATTTAAATCTGATCTAAAACTTCCACACACTGGAGTAAGGAATCCCTCATAGAGACAGATGCAAAGAGTTGGGGAGCCAGAAGGGTGGCATGGGTTTTAAATCCATTGCCTCACCTCATACATAATCACTTGAGTCACGCAGTGATTCCTTTGACGTTCACAACTGACTATTTCTAGAAGCCTCATGTTGTCATTATTGTGCAAGCATAACTCCATTTCTAATTTCATACACACACAAACAGACACACGCACACACACACACACACGTATAAGCTTCTACATAAAAAAGGAGATAATCTAGACCTACTGGGAAAGGTGAAGGCAGAGGAATGCTCTGTCATCTGACAATTAGATCATTGTGAACAAGAAACCCTCAAGGTCCAATTTTTTTGTTAGAATTCTGTTAGAATTGTTAACACACTTAGGAAACCAGCCCTCTTCATAACATCTCAAAATCTTCTTTTTGTTTGTCGGTGTTCGCTAGTCTTTCTTTTAGAAAATATTTAAGTTATTTTAGTAGATGATAAAAACACGTAGTATAAAATTCAGAAGGTAGAAAGGTAGGTCCTCTTCTTTTCTCTGAACCTAGTATTCCAATTCCTATCCCTGGAGGCAATGGTGATCACCAAGGCTCTAGGATAAATTTCCAAAATAACTGTGCACACACACAGCTACGATTATGTATATCAATATTTGCATAAGATGCCAACTGTTCTGAATCTGGGCTTTACATTTCACAGTTAATGTTACATCTTGTAGCTCACTTCATATCAGTAAATACAGAGATGCCTCATTTTTTATAAAGGCTGCATAGAATTCCATTGTATGAATGTCCATACCTTTCCTTAAACCAGTATTCTCTTGATGGGCATTGAAGTTATTTTTCAATGTTATTACTGTGATCATTACCATCATCATTATTATTCATGATTATGGAAATGGGCTTTTGGGCTATGCTTAGACCTAACTCATTTCACCGTCCTGTGCGTGTATCTGTAAGACAAATTTATAAAAGTTAAACTAATAGTTTGAATAATATGGACACTTTTTTAAACATGGACATTGCCAGATTGTCCCCACAAAGATTTCATCAGTTGCACCATCAGAAATGCAAGCAAGTCCTTATTTCCCTATATTCTCATCAACACTGCTTACAGGCTATGGTTCTGATCTCTGCTAGTCTCTGGGAGTAATATCTCAGTATGGTGTTTGTTTGCATTTCTCTTTCTCTTGCCTGGTATCTTTTTGGGTGTTTCCATTTCCAACTGTTTGTATCCATTGCTCATGTGCCTATTGGATTGTTGGTGTTTATATTGATTTATAAAGATTTTTATATTAAATGTAACTGACATGAGTTGCAAATATTCTTATAGTTTGTCATCGACTTTTTTATTTTGTCACTTTTTTGTCACATAGAAAATGAATATTTTTATGTGAGTAAAATATCTTTTAAATCTTCTGAGCTTTGTATCACCTTAGAAAGACCTTTTGTACTTTGAGATTATTGAGTATGTCTGTTATAGTATTTTAATGATTTTACTTTAACCTTCAAAAATTTGACCCTTCTACCGTTTATATTCCTGTAATGAGTGAGGTACTGATATATTTTTTGTGATAATTATTATTTAATGAATATTATATCTTTTCAAATTAATACATATATTTTAATATATGACCAAGATACCATTTTGTCATATATTAAATCTTTGTATGTATTTGGGTTTGTGTCTAAATTTCTAACCTGTTTAATTATATCCTGCCTATTCAACCACTGGAATTACTTATTTTAAATTGTTATAGTTATTTTATTAAGTGTTAGAGCTTACTTGTTTCCAAGCAGTCTGCTTTCCTAGATTTTCCTGGAATTCTTACTTTTTACTTTACTATATATGCTCTAGAATAAGCTTGTCTTGATACTTTAATTGAGTTACATGAAATTTACAAATTCATGTAAGATTCTTAAATCTATATGATGCTATGTTTTTCTATCCATGAACATAGTACATTTTTTATTTCTTTAAGTTTTCTTTGAGTTACTTATTCATGCTTTAAAATTGTCTTTATATATATTATGCATATATCTCATTAATATTTTTCCTAGGTATATTCTAAATTGGGGGTATGCCTAGAAATAGGCCCTTCTCTTCTATCACACCTTTATACTAATTGTCGGTTTTATATAGGAAGTTTATTTTGTATATTAATTTCCCACTAGGCATCTTACACCACTTTTAGTAGTGTTTCAGCTGATTCTCATGTTTTGCAAGTAGCTAACACATCAGCTGCAGATATGCCTTTATCTAAATTAGCTTATATACAATTGGAAAATAAATATTGTATATATTTTGGTGTACAGTGCAAATATTCCTTTGTATTTTGCTTTCTAATCAGGGTAAGCTAGGTTATGCAATAATGCTAAACATCCCCAAATTCTTAGAGGTTTAACACAATAGAAGTTCATTTCTTTTCTTTTCTTTTTTTTTTTTTTAAATGGAGTCTCACTCTGTCACCCAGGCTGGAGTGCAGTGGTGTGATCTCGGCTCACTGCAACCTCCACCTCCCGGGTTCAAGCGATTCTCCTGTCTCAGCCTCCCGAGTAGCTGGGACTACAGGCATGTGCCACCATGCCTGGCTAATCTTTTGTATATTTAGTAGAGACGGGGTTTCCCCATGTTCCCCAGGATGGCCAGAAGTTCATTTCTTACCAGCCAAAGTCTGCTGTGGGTCAAGGTGATTCTGCGGGGCAGCAGTCCTCCCTGTTTTGGCTCAGCCCTCCAGGTTACATGACCCATATAGCACAGACTCCCTGGAGGCCACACAGCAGAAGAGATGGACAAAGGGTGGCAAACCAGCAATTAAATCCCACAAGTGCTATGCATCACCTCTGCTTACATTTCATTTCTCAAAGCAAGTGACAGTGCTACCCTCACACTCAAGGGGCAGGGACAGATAATTCTACTGCATCCCTGGAAGCAGGGATGATTCAGCCCATGACTGAGTTAGCACATCATTTGTCCAGTTGCCCCCTAAGAAATTAGCTCTTTAATTCATTTATTATCCTGTAAATTTTTAACAACTTACATGTAAATAATTTAAAAATCATCTCACTTCCTGCAAAAAGAAATCCCTATTAAAGTCCAGTTCTTGAACATATCAGATAAATTGTTCCAAGCCCACTTTCCTTTTTCCGTGGAAAGATTCCATGTACCAGTTTATCAATTATTTTTCTAGAAGGTCGTTCCACTTTCTGATCATATCTCATTGTAGGCTTACTTCCTTGAATTTGTCTTTCATGTTTTATGACTTTAACTCTAGATTAATTCTATGCCTCTTGGGTAGGGGGTGGCTATCTTTAATTAAGCCCCAAATGTTATATAAAATCTTTGTGTTTAAAAAATATGTGTAGAAAGGGAATGAATGTATGTAAATTCAAGTATATAGATACATGTTTCTTTACTTTTTCCATCAGCTCTCCTCAATTAACAACATCAAAAATAAGCATGTTCGAGTTGTCTCTAAATAATCAGCAGAATTTAAAATAATGGCTGTGAGGGAAGTGATCCTCCATGCCTATGAAAAGGTTTTTAGGCATTATTTCAAATTCTCTCCAAAACGAGGTAGTCACTCCATTATTAAAGAGACACTGTTTCTGTGACCTCCAAATGCCACTTCCTTAGTGCTTGCTGTGGCAACTGTGATACTGTAATTACTGACAACTCATGTTTTCTAAAGAATGCCTGTTACCCATTTACAAAAGTCTTTCCTTCTTTCCCTGAACCCATTTGGTTCTATCTAAACAGAAATATATGTGATAAATATCATGAAGAAAAGATTATTGGGCAAAAACATTTTTCCCTTAAGAAATATATCAAATAACTTAAGGAATGAATTTTGCACTCTTCCAAAATGCCATTTTAATAGCCATTTAGTCAAAGGTTTTTATTTGAATTATTCCCTTCTGATCAATAATATATACACAAGAAATTATCTGTTTTAAAGAATTCTCTGCATGATCAAAACAATATGTAATTGCTACTTCCTTTGACTTACTTTGTAACAAAGCTAATATTTGGCTTTTCAACCCACAATAAATACCTTCCTCTCTGTTCTCTTCTGACTGAGCCATAATTAACACGAGTTTAACTATATATGACAGATATTTATTTAAAATACCTTCTGCTGCATATATTAACATTTTTCTCTCTACTTGTAAAATAGCCTGGAGTTCAGCAATAAAATCAGATTCACATTTCTGTTATGTTAATGCTCTGTGCTAGAGCAGAATATAGCATTTCAGAAGAAGCCAGTGAGCTACATCACAATAATTGTGTGTTGACTGCATTGTGCAATGAAATGGGGAAAATACTATGGAAATACATGGCATCTTCAATTTCCCCAACCATCTCCACACACAAACATAGAATTCGTATCCAAGTCGACTAGCAAGAATCCCTCCCATGGATGCCCAATAGTCAGTTTCTCTTTGATTTCTGAGAACATGGAAATCCTTATTGCTTACGAATTTTACCCTAACATCACAGGGTCAATAATATAAGTATTTCCACTGTCAATGAGACCTTCCATGTGAAGATGATCTGTAAGAGAGATTATGAAGGGGAGGGGTTCACCAAGTTCTGAAAACCTAGAATTATGAGACATTTGCAAGTGTGATAATGAAATTATTAGGATTAACAGAAAGAAAAACTATTTTCCTATTAAGACACAAGTTTTTAAACGTGTCTCCTCCTAGGGATTATGTGAATGAAACACATAAATAAGACCAGCAAGTCAGATTTTCCAGGTAGAAAGTACTTTAGATATTTAGATTTCATGGTAATTATATATATGAGGGACCTTGAATTCAGAGAAATCTCATGGTTACACAGCTCTTAGGTAATTGTGTTTGCATTAGTGACCAGTCTTCCAACCCAGCTAGACTTGTTTTCCATTACATCATGTGAGTAATCGACTCTGGTACATTATTAAGGGAAAGCTAAAAATGTTGGAGTAAAATCCGCAAAAATTTTGCAATCTACATCCTGAAGGGATTTACTATGTCCCCCACAAAACATACCTTAGTGTCCCAGACTCCCAGGAACAGAGACATTCAGCTAAAGGCAACATATTTATCTAGTAACAAGATTAGAACTAGAACCTCCATCTCTCTAGATCCTAGAACTCAGGCCACTGCAATTTGCTCTGCACTATACTGTCTTCCTTAGCCTCCCAGACAGAATTACATCTTGCAGCCATTGTATTTGAGGTTCTGTCTTGCTCAGAGGCAGGGGAAACTTTTCACGTCAGCCCTGGCTCTAGTGACAGGAGATGAGGAAAGAGCCTGGTAGCCATCATTCAAAAATTAGAGAATACAATGCTTTTCAAACTCTGATATGTCATCACTTCCATACCTCAAAATGGGGACTTTCCAGCAAAGGTGACTGCGCTAAAACCATATTCTTCCTTGGCAGGCACAGGATCCCAACGGTCACCTGAAAAATTCTGAACTCACCTTTCAATGTGACACGGAGTCGCAGATGATTTGAACATGTTGTAGGATCTGTGCTCTGCTCAAGTTAACATGAATCAAGCATTGTCAGCCCCGTTTGGTCCTTCTCATCAAAATCTTACTTGTTGCAGCTGCACTAAATTCCACATCTGAATAGGGGTTAAGTAGAATTTCTGAGGTCCTGAAGAACAAGCATTATATTTACAAGGTTCAGTGATAGTTAAAATTGTACCTCTTTGACAGAAGAAAAGAAAAATCATAAGGTTATTATATATGGATATATATCTCCCCTTGAGTTCGGGGGATGAATAGTTCATCAAAAAAGAATCTTGAGAAATACTCACTTCAATTGGGGATACTGATGTGGACAGAGTGGAGCATCATTTCATATTGTGAACATTGCTGCCAGTGTCTCTTTGGTACAGGAAATAAAACAGCACCCACCCCGCTGTCTTTTGTGCATACACTTTAATGCCCCCAGGTGAGCATCCTTGACAATTCTTACTAAAGGGCATGTGTTTAAAAAAATTCATGGGTCCTTTTGGTTTCTGTATCCCAAGTTGTGCTGAAGTACCCTCAGCTTGCTCCAAGCTCATGCTTATCCTCACCAACAAACATGTCATTTATTAATAATTCCTACATGAACCCACTCATTCACTTATCCATCCATCCATTCATTCATTCATTCACTCATTCATGAACAGTGGGGAAATAAATGGTCACATAGTGGGATAATCAGAGTGTGGAACTGTGAGCTAGTCCATACAGTATCTACTGGAAGATCACAGCTCTCATGAGTAAATGAGTTGCACATTCTTTTTTTGAGACATGAATGAAAAGGAAACATTGTAAAGAAACACCTATGTAGAGACAAGTCCTGTTATCTAATTTATTTTGGAGGGCACCCATTGGTAGCATGAAACATCATGTTTTAGATGTGGGTGCTTACTAAAGGACAGGCTATTCTAAGTGTATGAGGAGCACAAGTCATTAGCCACAGGTGCCTAAATCATGAAATCTGACTCAGGGCAAGGCAATAACTGTTGGCAAAGGACTAAGTTTTCTACTCTTTTTAGACCAAATGTATTCACCAAATGCAGAACTCTCTTCTAGACCATGAAGAGTGGATTCCTATGTGGACTGAAATAAAATGTCAGTTTCCTACCAAACTTTTCCACCTCACCCTGACTGGCAAAGTAGAAATCTCATTACAAAAGTCAATGAATCAGAGCTCCAGTAGATCCCCAATCAGAGGAGCCCTGTACAGACCACATTTTCTGTTCAATCACTATCCAGTTGTCACATTTGTTTAATTAATATTTCTTCCTCTGTGATTCAATGTTATTGTTGGTTTTGTTCTTTGTTTTAGAAAAACCCAGAAGAGAGCTTTTAATATAAGATTCTGTTAACCACTATATAATCATAAGAAAATAAAATATGTCCTAGAAATATGTGCAATTGTTCTGCATTGTGTGATTGGCACTGACATGGTGAAATTTTTTCTAAGTAATTAAATACCCTAAGTGTCTTGAGTATTTTTAATAGCTAGTATTATTGTCAGCTTATGGCTTATGGTGCTATCAATTATGACAAAAGAAATTATTTTCCAATCTGGATTATGCTGCAAACTGCACTGGAGCCCTTGAGATTTTCCTCTTTGAATATTAAAAGAGTGGTTGCAATTTGCAGGACTTATGCCTCTTTGAAAATGTTTCTATCTTTTAAAATATTAAGTATAAGAATTAACAAGTAAATTTTATAAACGTTGGAGGAGATATCTGTCCTCACAAGGCACTGATGCAAATATTAAATTCGCTTGTTTTAACCATCTCTACTTGGACTTTGTTCCAACTATGCTTCCTAAATGACTTTGGAATAAGTAAATTTTAATTGCCCTGATATATATCTTTAAAATCCTTCAAAAACATTGTTGAAATGATGAAAGAGGTCTGGGAAGTCCCTGATCAATATCTAATAATGTCTTTTTTATGTTTCGTGTAGGCTTTTATTGGGGCAGATAATTACCAAATTTTAAAATAATTCTGTTTTATTTTGGCAATTAATTTTCCAAGAATTATATTTCATTGTGAGGCCCTCCCTGTCACCTTACCAAGCAAACAAGACTCACTAGGGACCGTCAATGAAGGAGAGACTGAAGGAGGAGATGAAATTCACATGGCCAGCACCATTCATTTTTATTCTTTCTCTACATGAAACAGTCTCCATTCCTGGAGGAGGTCACACCTTCCTGTCCTTGTGTGTCCTCCTGCTACCTGCAATGCCTTCATCTAATACTACCTGTTGACAAAAGCTGGCACATGGTTCAAGCCCCATTTTAAATGTCATCTCCTCCAAAAAGCCTTTCCCAATCCCTTAATGAATTCCCCTTTCTTCTGCACTCTCAGTGTGCTACATCCAGTCCTACTTAACACTATTCCTTATGTCTTTAATTATGTATATATCTGTCTCACCAGTGATATATTAAACACACCAAGGATGAAAACCCTGTCCTATCTTTGCATCTGTGAGCCTCTAATAATGTTTTGACAATATTGGATGTTGAGTAAAGGCTTGGCTTCAGTCAGTTTTGCAATGCTGTGAAAACATTATTCTCCTTCTCCTCTGCCTTTTTCATGCTGTTGTTCCTGCTGTCTGGGATCCTTCCCCCAAGCACTACTCCCTTCTCTACTCAAATCTCTTAATCATGCATCAAGACTTTCCCAATTGTTATGCCCTCCTTGTGAGCCTTCTCCAATATCCCCTTCCCCTCCTCCCACCACCAGGTGAGATTTGGATCTTTGCTCTGCCCTTCCTTTGGAATCTTTATCTTCTTCAATAATGGTCTGATTCTGTAATGGCTTGTTTGCACAGTGGTCCTACTCTGTAGTCTTGTGAGTTTCTTGAGGACAGAAATCATTTCTTGTATCTCTGAATTTCTAAGACCAGCATGTAGGCACTCAGTAAATATTTGTTGGATGGATGGATGGACATTAAAATGAAATTTGACACATAAATCTGTGCACCTTGTTAGCATTCTCATACTATTTTCAAAAAAAGAACAAAGGAAAGAAAGAAAAAATGTTTCTGTGACTTAACATGACAAAATCCTTGGTTTTATTTCTCATCGTCCACTGCTCTTCATCGCATGGCTGCATTGGCCCAGTTATGACAATGGATGGAAACTCCATTGGCCATCTTTGTTTCCCTCCACATTGCCTGTCACCTCATCTCATCTGCTTGGCTTTGAGGGCCAAAGAGATCTGTACTGGCTATAAGTCAATGACATGAGTATGATAAACCGTCTTTAAGGAAGAAGAAAAGTTTGCAAATCTCTGAACAGCATAACCTATGCTGTTGAGAACATGTGGTATGTCAGTCAGTCCTAACTTACTGACCGTTCTGGATAACTATGAAATTTCAACAGCTTCCCACAGTCTGCACTCATCAACAACAATAACCATATTTTTATTTA
The DNA here is from genome assembly GCF_000001405.40 of Homo sapiens. Lineage (NCBI taxonomy): Eukaryota > Metazoa > Chordata > Mammalia > Primates > Hominidae > Homo > Homo sapiens. The sequence goes on from NC_000010.11 coordinate 10,641,171, forward strand.
GAAGGCAGCATACGGTTGTGGGAATAATTCCGGTCATGTACAGGCAAACCAAGGTTTACATTCTATGGCTCCACTGCCTAATGCAACCTTCAGCACGTGACTTAGTTTCTGTTTCTCTGTCTGTAAAGTGGAAATCACGCAGTACTTTGTCCGGCTGTGCTCAGGAGGTAAACTTCATCGTGTATCTCTTTACTTGGCATGGTGTCTAGAATGTACTAAGTATTGTTTTTCTTCCCCTTACGGGTGTATTGCTACAGAGGTTTTTTTTTGTTTTCTTTTGTTTTTTTGAGACAAAGTTTTGTTCTTCTTGTCCAGGCTGGAGTGCAATGGTGGGGTCTCTGCTCACTGCAATTTCTGCCTCCTGGGTTCAAGTGATTCTCCTGTCTCAGCCTCCCAAGTAGCTGGGATTACAGGAGACCGCCACCACATCCAGCTAATTTTTGTATTTTTAGTAGAGACAAGGTTTCAAGGTTTCACCATGTTGGCCAGGCTGGTCTCACACTCCTGACCTCAAGCAATCTGCCCGCCTCGGCCTCCCAAAGTGCTGGGATTTCAGGAGTGATCCACTGTGCCCAGCCTATGGAGGTTTTAAAACAAATTTATCATTGACTAATTCAGTTTGCTCTTGTGTTTCTCATCTCACACCCCATCATGTTTAAAAATGGACAAAAATAAATACGAAAATTCAAGTAGGTAACTCTTAGGTTGCATTAATTCCCCCTCCTTTTTCTCACAATGGACTCTTCATCTTTTGCTATTATATCACTCTTATGCTGATTCTAGTAAGCTTCCAAACTAGGTCATAGAGCCTTGAGATAAAGGGCACTGTTTCTATTCCTTATTCTGAGTGCCTAGTGAGTGAAGACCTGGTGGAAGATAGTCAAGAAATGGATTCATTCATTCATTCAAAAAACAAGGCCATCATGGGGGAAAGGAAGACAGGAAGCTTGCCAGATATAGCATGAAGAGCAGAGAGGTCCAAGTCCTTTTGCTTTTGCAAGGATATTTATAATAGTCCCAAGATTATTGGATTTTCTACTATCTGAGGCAAATTCTTCCCCACTTTACACATTTATTGCCTGCCCAGTAGTTTGTCACTGTAGTGGTAAATCAAAAGGGATTCCAGACAGGTCACACCAACCTTCATACTCTCTCTGAATCACTTCTCCAGCACAGTCCCAAAGCCAGGCTGGTTAGCTTAAAGTTTATATTACCCAGCAGGCACAGAGTGTGGCATGGTTGCCTGCATTAAACAGTGATGTCACAGCCTGACGAGGAGGTTGTCTTTTTAGCAAGGAGCAAGAGGAAAATTGAAGCAACTCCAGAGAGAAAATGTTTATTGAAATGCAAATGAATCTTCCATGCATGTGCTTTAGCTCTTTTGAAACAGAAAATCTCTAAGAAGATAGCTGCATTTTCCTTGCCCCCTTCCCTCCTTGCTTATCTCTGCAAATGTTACAGGGCACTCATAATATGAAAATATGGAGGAATTTTGGAGAGAAAACACTTATTTTTAACAGGCATGCTTCCCCTAAAAATAGCAAAAGGAATGAATAGTAAAAGTTCCCAGAAGAGTACGTTGATATTGGCTCAAAATGATTCTTTTTCCCAATGGATCTGTGGACAGCAGTGGGTGCAGGTGGAGCCCTGCCCACTGCTTGGGTTGCACCGGCAGCCAGTGGTGGAGGCTGTGTGTTGATATCTGCAGGCCTGGCCTGCCATCTGACCCCGGTGTTGCCACTCCACATGGATTGCCTCTCAGCCAGCCTCTTCTCAGAGAACAAGGACATTCCTCATCTGTGTCTGTGGTAAACAGCAGTTGGGAGAGTTGCAGCTGGCTCAGCCCTTTGAGTTCTGCAGATAAGAAAGTTCTGTTGAAATGTAAAATATTTTTAAATGTTTTAACTGTCACATGGCTACACTCCCCATCATGCTGAACAGAGCCAGAAGAGGACAAACATGCATTTAAACATTTTGCTGGAGTGAACCCTTGGCAGGGTCAGGTTTCCATCAATGATGTAGTTCTTGTAAAGGTAGTGATAGGGTTTGACTGTGTCCCCACCCAAATCTCATCTTGAATTGTAGCTCCCATAACCCCCGTGTATCATGGGAGGGACCCAGTTGGAGATAGTTGAATCAGGGAGACAAGTTTTTCTCATGCTGTTCTCTTGGTGGTGAGTAAGTCTCACGAGATCTGATGGTTCTATAAAGCGCAGTTCCCCTGCACATGCTCTCTTGCCTACCACCATGTAAGACGTGACTTTGCTCCACCTTTGCCTTCTACCATGATTGTGAGGCCTCCCCAGCCTTGTGGAACTGTGAATCCATTAAGCCTCTTTCCTTTATAAATTACCCAGTCTCAGGTATGTCCTTATAGCAATGTGAGAATGGATTAATACAGGTAAATTTTTTGAAAAATTGGACCACAGAATTATAAATATTTCCCAGGTTTAGATCTGATTCTTTAGTCTAACACTATCATTTATAATGGAGGTTATAAAACAACATCTAAATATTGACCTCTATAGAGTTCCTTCTAGGGAAGAGGACAACAGGAGTTTCCTATAAACCTACCCAGCCTTCTCCTCAACCTGAAAGTGAACATCAATATTTTACTTTATGTCTTAACGTAGGCTCTGAAAATTTTAAATTGTGACAGTCTTAAGTGGCAATTTCTTAACTCTCATTTGCATGTTGAACCTTTGACACAGTTACAGTTTAGTGGGTTATAAATCGTAACCCATTAAATTAGTCAGTCAGAAATAATCTGTTTCTCCCCTGTCTTCCAAAAGTTAATTTCTTGGATGTTATCACAGCCCTAAGGTAAAAATGCAAGATTAAGGACATCATCCTGTCCTGGATCCCCAGCATCCCCCAAACCCAAGCCTTGCCTTTGTTTTCTACCAGCTGACAAAAGAGGTTTACCTGTGGCTGAAAACATGAGGCTGCAACTGAAGCTTTCTTTACAGACTCATGTCTCCTGTCTGCTGCCACGTGATAAATAGAATCTGTACTGCCTGACACTGGTGAACAGTGGGTGAAATGGATATTAGAAAAATCTCATTTATCTTCTGCTTTATTTCTTGATAGGGGTCCTTGTCACTAGGACTATTGTGTGACCAGCTCTGGAAAGGGCATCTCATTAGTTTTTCTTATCAAGATAGCAAGGTCCTTTTAAACAGCAAAGCACTTACATTTTAGATTCAATTAGGAAACTGCACAGTGTGTGTTCGTGTGTGTGTGTGTGTGTGTGTGTGTTTGCACTTCAGAGCTTCTTCCTGGAGACAGAGTAGTGTCAGCTTGATTCTTACAGGTCTGGTTTTCACCGCAGTTGAGCCCAGCAGGCACGTCACACTGAACCAAACCCTGTGACTCAGTATCCTCTGGCACAAAAGCAGCTGATAGACTCATCTTCATCTGCTTCCATGATTTTGTCTGAGGCAGGATCAGCCTGGGCGAGGTATAGGAAGCTGCCAGCCATCTGTGTAGCAAGGGATGTCCATGGATCTCTTTTCTGACGTGGTTTGCTAGAAAAATGAAACAAAGGCCCTATTTTAGCCCCACTAGTGTCTAAAGTATCTCCCCCCACGTCCTGGGCTTCCTTGCACACAGCGGGCTCTTCTGGCAAATGCACTTTGGAGCAGTTCACAGTTGCCACCCAGACAACTGGGAGAATGTCAGCAAATCAGCAGTGACTTAGAAAATGTCAGATGGGGTTCAACTTTTTCACATCATATTGAAAATCTCAGTGACAGGCGGATGAAGTGGGACAACTGTACGTCAAGGCACTGTGTGGAAAATTTAGCTGATACACTGAGAGAAAGCGCCTCTCTCCCAGCAGCTGTGAAAACAAACCAAAAACGAAAATATCCTGCCAGGGTTCTGAATGATCTCCTGGGGATACTGGCCTCTTTTGAAAGAACATGGATGCTTTCAGGACAGTAGGGTGCCATGTAGCTTGCTTATTCAGGGGGGATGAGATGCTGTTGGTTGGCAAGATTGAATCCCCCCTTGTTGAGTTCTGTGGAATCCCCCCTTGTTGAATACATGTTTCAGGGAGAAGCACCATTCACTTTCAGGGGCTGGCTGGATTGTTGGCAATTCTGTACTCCACCCTACTCACATAGGCCAGCCTTAGAAGACAGCCACTGCTCATGATTTACTTTTAAACCTTTGTCGCAATTGTGATTAAGAATTTGTGCCTGGGTGCGGTGGTTCATGCCTATAATCCCAGCACTTTGCGAGGCTGAGCTGGGAAGATCACCTGAGCCTAGGAGTTTGCGACCAGCCTTGGCAACATAGTAAGACCTAGTCTCTACCAAAAAATAGAAAAATTAGGCAGGCATGGTAGCACGCCCATGTAGTCCCAGCTACTCAGGAGGCTGAGGCAGGAAAATCACTTGAGCCCAGAAGTTCAAGGCTGCAGGGAGCCATCATTGCACCACCGCACTTCAGCCTAGGTGCCAGAGCAAGACTTTGTCTCAAAAAAATAAAAAATAAATTTGCTTGATTAATGGTTAGATGATAAGCTTCCAGAGTGCAGGGAGAGTGTCCTGTTCACTGTACATCTCCTGTGCCTACAAAGTGCCTGGTGGGGAACAGGTACTCAATAAGTTTCTTCTGAGATTGACAAATGATTGAAGGCAAAGAAGATATTCCTGTCTAAAACCCTCTTCCATGTATAGAAGCAACTCTATTTTGTGATTCCATGAAAGCATGACATAGGGTAACTCGTTCTGGTTTTGTGTCTGGCTGGCTGAGACTGACATCAGGATGCTAACTTCCTGTGGCTTCAGTTTACTCTGAAGTGATGAAGAGTATTAACCTTTCCAGATGCACTAATCCTAATCTTTTGGGCTAGGACACTGGAGAACTTGACGTCTCATTCTCCATTGAGGTTTTCAGATAAGATCTAATATGGGCAGATATTAGGCAGTTACTAGGCATGTGTTGGTCTGTTTTTTCCCTATGAGACAGGGCATCTGAGATCATCTAAGTGCTCTGAGCACCTACAGATAAAAAGCTACAAAGAGTAGAGTCTGGAATGGGGACAGAAAGGAAGGTAGAAAACCGTCAAAACCAAAGTTCACCTACTTCACAATTTCCCTAAGGACCAATCAGTAAACATCCATGAACAAAGACAGAGTATGTGCCTGGGACAAATGGAAATCAACAAATCCATTTCAACGAAAGCCACGGCTAATTGATGCTCATCCACAAATCTCTCGTTAAACATTGGTTCATCATTTGTCACATCCATCAAGCTTCACTTGGTTTTTTGCACGTCGTTTCTCAGCCCCTTACTTTGCCCCCTCACTGCTTAACCAAGTCTCATTCTGTTCCATTGCTACAACACTTGGTAGTGTTAAATATGATGGCAGTCACATCCACCTCCATGCATAATTAAGAAATGGATTACATGTTTTGAAAATGACTGCAAAGACTTCCAAGGCTGGAATATTTATCCAAATCTAGTATTACTTCCTGAGTTTTGTTTCATGGAATATTTATGACAAGCTGTGATGAAATACTGACCCAGGATGTTCTGACGAAGAGCAGGTGCCACTGAGGTGCCACATCATTCTGTGGAACTTGCATGGCATTTTATTTGCCAAGAGCCTTTCTCTAATACTTCAGCTTCGCTTGGCATTAACTTAGCTGCACAATTTTGTGCTAAGAGAGTGAAGAAATGAAGCCCAGAAGGGTGAAACAGTTTGCCCCACGCTAATGATCTCTCCCTGCCCTTTGATGAGTGTTGGACCTCACACAGCCTGGTCATGCCACTCCCCTGCTAGCCTACTCGTTGGCATGAGGGATGATGAACTGAAGGATACATTGCATTTCCTGCCATCTAATATCTCTGTGACATTATAAATAGGGTCACATACTCCTCCTTTCCTTGGACTTAATTCTGATTTCTGAGCATGATAAGCAGGGTCTAAGTTAACTGCTCTGCCTTACATAACTCACAGCCTAGCCCTTGCCCCTATCCTCCTGGTTCCCGTTTCCTTAACTCCCTTTGTGTCAAACTCCTGTTTCCCCATTCCTCCTCCAGTCTCAACCCTACACCTGCTTCAGGACTTTGCTGAAGCATCACCTGCTGTAAGAAAACTTTCTGCTCCTTGCGATTTCCTGTCCTTTGAACCCACTGCCCGCCCGCTCCACATGTGGGTATGGACACCCTCCCTGCCTTTACATAAAAGCCGTTTTAGATTTGATCTCAACTCTCCCAGGTCTTTCTGATAAATGAAAGACAATTTGCAAATGCAAACATCAATGCGGATAACATATAGTCACCAAATTCCAGAGCCATTGTTCCACAGCCAAAGGGCAGCTCTTGCTTAATAAGGACTTAGATTACTCATCAATAAATGATGACGACAGATCATTAACAGCACCATTTGGACAGCGCTCTGCATTTTACATGGTGCCTCCGTGGACAGCACTTTTCTCACTTTTCCTCTGTGACGTGATGGAGCATATCCCCGGGCCTTGGAGAAATAGTCCCCAAAATCAGGCAAGAAAAAATATTTCAAGGCTTGCTTTCTTTTAAAACTTTGTGTGTATTTTTATCTTCCATGATAAACATCATCATTTACAGTTTTAAAATGTTTTAATGGGCTTACCACTAAATAAACCTGCTATTCCAAAAAGATTCCATGGGCCTGTCATCGCAGTTTAGAAAACACTAGTTTGCCATTTAACTGAATCCTGGGCACTGCTCTGTGAAAGAGGTGAGCTGCTTAGGACCAATCCATTGTTACGGGAGAGAAAAGCACCTGCATTTTGATCCACTTCCTTCAGACCCTGAATTAGTGATAGAGTTAGGATTCAACTACAGATGTTTTTAACTCCAAACTTCATGTACAAATTTACTTACCCTTCAAGAAATTTCCAGTTGTGCTATCCTCAGGATATATGAAAGTATACGATTTTATCCACTGCCCACCACCTTGCAGCAATGTAAAGCAAAAACCCACTGCCCAGGCACAGTAGCACCTCATCCCCATGTTGACGTCATTTACCTGAAGCCCAGGACTCAGCTCTTGGATGTGGTCTCTTCTATATCAACATCCAGCATCCATCCTAAAAATCCCAGGGAACCCGTACCAGTATCCCTGGATAGTCATTAATGTAGCTCCCTGAAGCACTTCCTTTCATCATGTCTGTCTGCCTTTACTAGGCTATAAAGTCCTTGAAGTAAGAGATCACCTTTGATACATCCCAGTCCATATGCCAAACTCAGCTCAGCGTCTGGTATCAAAAATGCTCTTTCATGCATACTTATCGCTCACTAGTTTCCTAAAAGTGGACAGGAAGGGTTGCAGTAGGTAAAAGAAAGTACAATTTCCCCATCAGCCAAAGCGAAAGAATAACAGCAACAACTATTACATGGCATCACACTGAACCATGCAAGTCTATAGCCTTTCCTCTCGGCTCTATGTCATGATAGATCGTGTTCTGGAAGCAATGGTCTGTAGCTTAAATGGGTCAGGTGTATATTTTGATTTTCTCTTACAGCTTGTTGAAGAATATTTTACGGTTTGGTAATTTTGTTTCTTAATATCCAAGATGATTGACCGTGGTACCCAGCAGCCCGAAGGAAGACATCCTTAAATGTCATGATTATCCCAAAATATTAGAGCAAGCTTATTGGAAATTTGATCTTCTCAAAAATATTACTATAGCTGCATTCCATTGGGTTCAATAAGTGAAATGATGAGGAGGGGCGCACCGCTTACAGATGATGCTGTCGGCTATTACCCATCTTCTCCCCTCCTGAGAGCCACTGCATTGAAATGTTATGTGTTGCTCACCTTTCCTTATGGTATATTGTAACTTTGCAAGGCTGAAGATTTCAGTCCTGGATTTTCAGCTGCTAGAAGAAAACTGATTTCCCATCTATCCCCTTTTGAAACGGGCACTGGTCTAAAGAAACCATTATCCTCTCATTTTTTCATGCTGGTGAAAGTCGCGATTCTCATAGATAACCCAGCACACATTTACATACTCTTCATAGCCAAAAATGGTATGGCTTTTGTTATCTAAATGATCTCATAAACAAAAGGCAACAACATTTTCTGAATGCATTTGCCTTGAGCATCTCAGGGTAAAAACATAGGTCCTTTATTCTGTTGCAGAGGTCAGAAATTGTAATTAGATAGCGGGCTGGGTTTTCTCTTTTGTATATACTCAGGTCAATATTACCAAACTCAGGTCAACATTACCATACTCAGATCAGTATTACAGTACTCAAGTTAATATTGCCAACTGTTTCCTCTGGGGGGAAAAAATGGGTTGGATCATTCCCAAAACTCGTGTTATATGTTTTACATACAGATATATCTTAGGGATACATCTCATAGAAAGGGATGTGGTACCACAGACAACACAGCTTATCTTAGACAACAGCTTAAATTCACTGACATTACCTCTGAGTCATAATAGACTTGCAAAAACCAGTAGATTTTAAGTTGGATCTGGAGTGATTCAATGATTCCCTCATGCATCTAGAAGAGGCAAGTGAATTCCCAGGACCCCAGATATCTCTGGAGTTCCCAAAATACTGGTTTCTGGAGACAGACATCCCAACACTGCAGAAGGACCCGCGTGTAGTGTAGGTAAACTGAAAATGTCCGATTGTGCCCACTTGCTTTCGAGGACAGAGTGATGCCTGAGAGGCTACATTCGGATTCCCCTGGAGTGCAGCTGTTCCTCTGCTCACTTCTGCCACCTTCACATCGATCTCTGCAGCGGGATGATTTAAGTGGCCATTTAGATCGATGCCCGAGACAACACAGCCAGGATATCCACCCGCCGTAATCTGCTCATTCTGTGTGGATGGACTAGGACTTTGCTCCAGGAATGCCAATCACATTGCAACCATCAGGAAACGTTCAGACTATTTGATGCTCCGCAGATGCTGGTCTCACATCCAGGGAATGATAGAGGACAGTGCAAAGTTCGACCTGTCCCTTCGTAGTATTTCATTACAGCCTCATTTGAGACAATCGAGGGAAATTAAAAAGAAAAATAAAACAAATAAAGCAGAACAAAAAGGCCCCCATTGAAATTATCATGAGCATTGACTTGGGTAGAAATGGCATGCAAAGTGTAAGACATCTTAATAAAAGAATCAAAGTTATTTTCATTAAGCACATTTAAACTTTTGCTCTTCATCTTGCTTCCAAAGTAGTATATCTTCCCATTTGACTTAAAATGTTAAGTTAAAAAATATTTTCCATAATTTTTCATAAAATTAAAGATATGCATACTCTGTAACCCAGAAATTCCAATTCTAATTCTACATTTTAGAGAGACCTATGTAAAAGTACACATCTTGAATTATAAGAGCAAAAAATTGAAACAGCCTAAGCATTTATTAACAAGAGAATGAATTTTTCACAAAATGAAATAGTACACAGCATGACAAGATAAAATAGCACTGCAATGAGATACAACTTCATACTCTCTAGGATGGCTATCATGAAAAAGACAGAAAATAAGAAATGTGTGCAAGAATGTGGGGAAGATAGAACTGTCATACATTGCTTACTAAAAATAGTAAAATGATGCAACCACTTTGGAAAAAGTTTTAGCGTTCCTCAAAATATTTAACACAGAGTCACCATCTGACCCAGCGATTCCACTCCTAGGTATGTACCTAAAAGAAATGAAAACGTGGAGGGGGGAGGAGCCAAGATGGCCGAATAGGAACAGCTCCGGTCTACAGCTCCCAGCGTGAGCGACGCAGAAGACCGGTGATTTCTGCATTTCCATCTGAGGTACCGGGTTCATCTCACTAGGGAGTGCCAGACAGTGGGCGCAGGCCAGTGGGTGCGCGCACCGTGCGCGAGCCGAAGCAGGGCGAGGCATTGCCTCACTTGGGAAGCGCAAGGGGTCAGGGAGTTCCCTTTCCAAGTCAAAGAAAGGGGTGACGGATGCACCTGGAAAATCGGGTCACTCCCACCCGAATTTTGCGCTTTTCAGACCTGCTTAAAAAACGGCGCACCACGAGATTATATCCCACATCTGGCTCGGAGGGTCCTATGCCCACAGAATCTCGCTGATTGCTAGCACAGCAGTATGAGATCAAACTGCAAGGCGGCAGTGAGGCTGGGGGAGGGGTGCCCGCCATTGCCCAGGCTTGCTTAGGTAAACAAAGCAGCGGGGAAGCTCGAACTGGGTGGAACCCACCACAGCTCAAGGAGGCCTGCCTGCCTCTGTAGGCTCCACCTCTGGGGGCAGGGCACAGACAAACAAAAAGACAGCAGTAACCTCTGCAGACTTAAATGTCCCTGTCTGACAGCTTTGAAGAGAACAGTGGTTCTCCCAGCACGCAGCTGGAGATCTGAGAACCAGCAGACTGCCTCCTCAAGTGGGTCCCTGACCCCTGACCCCCGAGCAGCCTAACTGGGAGGCACCCCCCAGCAGGGGCACACTGACACCTCACACGGCAGGGTATTCCAACAGACCTGCAGCTGAGGGTCCTGTCTGTTAGAAGGAAAACTAACAAACAGAAAAGACATCTACACCGAAAACCCATCTGTACATCACCATCATCAAAGACCAAAAGTAGATAAAACCACAAAGATGGGGAAAAAAAAAGCACAGAAAAACTGGAAACTCTAAAAAGCAGAGCGCCTCTCCTCCTCCAAAGGAACGCAGTTCCTCACCAGCAACGGAACAAAGCTGGATGGAGAATGACTTTGACGAGCTGAGAGAAGAAGGCTTCAGATGATCAAATTACTCTGAGCTACGGGAGGACATTCAAACCAAAGGCAAAGAAGTTGAAAACTTTGAAAAAAATTTAGGAGAATGTATAACTAGAATAACCAATACAGAGAAGTGCTTAAAGGAGCTGATGGAGCTGAAAACTAAGGCTCGAGAACTACGTGAAGAATGCAGAAGCCTCAGGAGCCGATGCGATCAACTGGAAGAAAGGGTATCAGCGATGGAAGATGAAATGAATGAAATGAAGTGAGAAGGGAAGTTTAGAGAAAAAAGAATAAAAAGAAATGAGCAAAGCCTCCAAGAAATATGGGACTATGTGAAAAGACCAAATCTACATCTGATTGGTGTACCTGAAAGTGACGGGGAGAATGGAACCAAGTTGGAAAACACTCTGCAGGATATTATCCAGGAGAACTTCCCCAATCTAGCAAGGCAGGCCAACGTTCAGATTCAGGAAATACAGACAACGCCACAAAGATACTCCTCGAGAAGAGCAACTCCAAGACACATAATTGTCAGATTCACCAAAGTTGAAATGAAGGAAAAAATGTTAAGGGCAGCCAGAGAGAAAGGTCGGGTTACCCTCAAAGGGAAGCCCATCAGACTAACAGCGGATCTCTCGGCAGAAACCCTACAAGCCAGAAGAGAGTGGGGGCCAATATTCAACATTCTTAAAGAAAAGAATTTTCAACCCAGAATTTCATATCCAGCCAAACTAAGCTTCATAAGCGAAGGAGAAATAAAATACTTCACAGACAAGCAAATGCTGAGAGATTTTGTCACCACCAGGCCTGCCCTAAAAGAGCTCCTGAAGGAAGTGCTAAACATGGAAAGGAACAATCGGTACCAGCCGCTGCAAAATCATGCCAAAATGTAAAGACCATCGAGACTAGGAAGAAACTGCATCAACTAAAGAGCAAAATCACCAGCTAACATCATAATGACAGGATCAAATTCACACATAACAATATTAACTTTAAATGGATTAAATTCTCCAATTAAAAGACACAGACTGGCAAATTGGATAAAGAGTCAAGACCCATCAGTGTGCTGTACTCAGGAAACCCATCTCATGTGCAGAGACACACATAGGCTCAAAATAAAAGGATGGAGGAAGATCTACCAAGCAAATGGAAAACAAAAAAAGGCAGGGGTTGCAATCCTCATTTCTGATAAAGCAGACTTTAAACCAACAAACATCAAAAGAGACAAAGAAGGCCACTACATAATGGTAAAGGGATCAATTCAACAAGAAGAGCTAACTCTCCTAAATATATATGCACCCAATACAGGGGAACCAAGATTCATAAAGCAAGTCCTGAGTGACCTACAAAGAGACTTAGACTCCCACACATTCATAATGGGAGACTTTAACACCCCACTGTCAACATTAGACAGATCAACGAGACAGAAAGTCAACAAGGATACCCAGGAATTGAACTCAGCTCTGCACCAAGTGGACCTAATAGACATTTACAGAACTCTCCACCCCAAATCAACAGAATATACAATTTTTTCAGCACCACACCACACCTATTCCAAAATTGACCACATACTTGGAAGTAAAGCTCTCCTCAGCAAATGTAAAAGAACAGAAATTATAACAAACTATCTCTCAGACCACAGTGCAATCAAACTAGAACTCAGGATTAAGAATCTCACTCAAAACCGCTCAACTACATGGAAACTGAACAACCTGCTCCTGAATGACTACTGGGTACATAACGAAATGAAGGCAGAAATAAAGATGTTCTTTGAAACCAACGAGAACAAAGACACAACATACCAGAATCTCTGGGATGCATTCAAAGCAGTGTGTAGAGGGAAATTTATAGCACTAAAGGCCCACAAGAGAAAGCAGGAAAGATCCAAAATTGACACCCTAACATCACAATTAAAAGAACTGGAAAAGCAAGAGCAAACACATTCAAAAGCTAGCAGAAGGCAAGAAATAACTAAAATCAGAGCAGAATTGAAGGAAATAGAGACACAAAAAACCCTTCAAAACATCAATGAATCCAGGAGCTGGTTTTTTGAAAGGATCAACAAAATTGATAGACCGCTAGCAAGACTAATAAAGAAAAAAAGAGAGAAGAATCAAATACACACAATAAAAAATGATAAAGGGGATATCACCACTGATCCCACAGAAATACAAACTACCATCAGAGAATACTACAAACACCTCTACGCAAATAAACTAGAAAATCTAGAAGAAATGGATACATTCCTTGACACATACACTCTCCCAAGACTAAACCAGGAAGAAGTTGAATCTCTGAATAGACCAATAACAGGAGCTGAAATTGTGGCAATAATCAATAGTTTACCAACCAAAAAGAGTCCGGGACCAGATGGATTCACAGCTGAATTCTACCAGAGGTACAAGGAGGAACTGGTACCATTCCTTCTGAAACTATTCCAATCAATAGAAAAAGAGGGAATCCTCCCTAACTCATTTTATGAGGCCAGCATCATTCTGATACCAAAGCCTGGCAGACACACAACCAAAAAAGAGAATTTTAGACCAATATCCTTGATGAACACTGATGCAAAAATCCTCAATAAAATACTGGCAAAACGAATCCAGCAGCACATCAAAAAGCTTATCCACCATGATCAAGTGGGCTTCATCCCTGGGATGCAAGGCTGGTTCAATATACGCAAATCAATAAATGTAATCCAGCATATAAACAGAGCCAAAGACAAAAACCACATGATTATCTCAATAGATGCAGAAAAAGCCTTTGACAAAATTCAACAACCCTTCATGCTAAAAACTCTCAATAAATTAGGTATTGATGGGACGTATTTCAAAATAATAAGAGCTATCTATGACAAACCCACAGCCAATATCATACTGAATGGGCAAAAACTGGAAGCATTCCCTTTGAAAACTGGCACAGGACAGGGATGCCCTCTCTCACCACTCCTATTCAACATAGTGTTGGAAGTTCTGGCCAGGGAAATCGGGCAGGAGAAGGAAATAAAGGGTATTCAATTAGGAAAAGAGGAAGTCAAATTGTCCCTGTTTGCAGACGACATGATTGTATATCTAGAAAACCCCATTGTCTCAGCCCAAAATCTCCTTAAGCTGATAAGCAACTTCAGCAAAGTCTCAGGATACAAAATCAATGTACAAAAATCACAAGCATTCTTATACACCAACAACAGACAAATAGAGAGCCAAATCATGAGTGAACTCCCATTCACAATTGCTTCAAAGAGAATAAAATACTTAGGAATCCAACTTACAAGGGATGTGAAGGACCTCTTCAAGGAGAACTACAAACCACTGCTCAATGAAATAAAAGAGGATACAAACAAATGGAAGAACATTCCATGCTCATGGGGGTAGGAAGAATCAATATCGTGAAAATGGCCATACTGCCCAAGGTAATTTACAGATTCAATGCCATCCCCATCAAGCTACCAATGACTTTCTTCACAGAATTGGAAAAAACTACTTTAAAGTTCATATGGAACCAAAAAAGATCCCGCATCGCCAAGTCAATCCTAAGCCAAAAGAACAAAGCTGGAGGCATCACACTACCTGACTTCAAACTATACTACAAGGCTATAGTAACCAAAACAGCATGGTACTGGTACCAAAACAGAGATATAGATCAATGGAACAGAACAGAGCCCTCAGAAATAACGCCGCATATCTACAACTAATTGATCTTTGACAAACCTGAGAAAAACGAGCAATGGGGAAATGATTCCCTATTTAATAAATGGTGCTGGGAAAACTGGCTAGCCATATGTAGAAAGCTGAAACTGGATCCCTTCCTTACACCTTATACAAAAATCAATTCAAGATGGATTAAAGACTTAAACGTTAGACCTAAAACCATAAAAACCCTAGAAGAAAACCTAGGCATTACCATTCAGGACATAGGCACAGGCAAGGACTTCATGTCCAAAACACCAAAAGCAATGGCAACAAAAGACAAAATTGACAAATGGGATCTCATTAAACTAAAGAGCTTCTGCACAGCAAAAGAAACTACCATGAGAGTGAACAGGCAACCTACAAAATGGGAGAAAATTTTCGCAACCTACTCATCTGACAAAGGGCTAATATCCAGAATCTACAATGAACTCAAACAAATTTACAAGAAAAAAAAACAACCCCATCAAAAAGTGGGCGAAGGACATGAACAGACACTTCTCAAAAGAAGACATTTATGCAGCCAAAAAACACATGAAAAAATGCTCATCATCACTGGCCATCAGAGAAATGCAAATCAAAACCACAATGAGATACCATCTCACACCAGTTAGAATGACAATCATTAAAAAGTCAGGAAACAACAGGTGCTGGAGAGGATGTGGAGAAATGGGAGCACTTTTACCCTGTTGGTGGGACTGTAAACTAGTTCAACCATTGTGGAAGTCAGTGTGGCGATTCCTCAGGGATCTAGAACTAGAAATACCATTTGACCCAGCCATCCCATTACTGGGTATATACCCAAAGGACTATAAATCATGCTGCTATAAAGACACATGCACATGTATGTTTATTGCGGCATTATTCACAATAGCAAAGACTTGGAACCAACCCAAATGTCCAAGAATGATAGACTGGATTAAGAAAATGTGGCACATATACACCATGGAATACTATGCAGCCATAAAAAATGATGAGTTCATGTCCTTTGTGGGGACATGGATGAAATTGGAAATCATCATTCTCAGTAAACTATCGCAAGAACAAAAAACCAAACAGCGCATATTCTCACTCATAGGTGGGAATTGAACAATGAGATCACATGGACACAGGAAGGGGAATATCACACTCTGGGGACTGTGGTGGGGTCGGGGGAGGGGGGAGGGATAGCATTGGGAGATATACCTAATGCTAGATGACGAGTTAGTGGGTGCAGCGCACCAGCATGGCACATGTATACATATGTAACTAACCTGCAGAATGTGCACATGTACCCTAAAACTTAAAGTATAATTAAAAAAATAAAAAATAAAAAAATAACTTGCACATGGTAGAATCAATAAAAAAAAAAAAAAAAGAAAACGTGTCCACACAAAAAAACTTACACATTAATGTTAATAGCAGCATTGTTCATAATGGCCAACAAGTGGAAACCATTCAAATATTCATCAATGGATGAATGGATAAATTAAATGTTGTATATTCATATGGCAGAATATTATTCAGCAGATTGATAGAGGCTACAGCATGGTTGAACCCTGAAAAAATTTGGTTAAGTTAAAGAAGAAGTCAGACACAAAAGGCCAAATAATGCATATGTCCATTTATTTGAAATGTTCGCATTACACATATGACACAGAAAAAAAAGTAGATGAGTGACTGGTAGCTTATGATTTGCTGGAGAAAAGGGACAGTGAGAGTAATTGTTGCTGGGTGCTTGTTTTCTTTTTGGGAGTAATGAAGATGTTCTAAAATTAGACTGTGGTGATGGTTGCGTAACCTTAAGCATACACTAAAAGTATATATATTTAAAAGTATATACATATATTTGCCATTAAAAGTAATGGCAAAAACCATAATTGCTTTTGCACCAGCCCAGTACTTTAAATGCGTGAGTTATATGGTACGTGAATTGTAACTCAATAAAGCTGTTTTCTTTTTAAGTTACGAAATAAAAAAATGAAGTAGAGGCAAAGTTAGCAACGTGACTAATTCCCACAACACAATGTTGAATAAGAAAAAAAGAATGCATGTAATATGAATCCAATTATATAAAGTTTAAGTATATACCAAACAATACTACACATGCCTTAAGGATCTACATACATATGTTATTAAGGAGGGGCCCAAGGATTTGGGAAGGAGAATATATTCCAGGAGCATCCCACAAGGTTTTCCATTGTATTCATGATATTTTGTTTCTTAAGTTCAGTTGGGGATACAAGATGTTCATTATAATATGCTTTATGTCTTTTTAATATGTTGAGCTATTTCATAAGCAAATAATAATCACCAAGAAGTACATGTATCCAGAAGGATCTGTTGAATTTTATTAAGGCTTGCTTTGCCCTGTTATTAACTTTTACTTTTATTCAGGTTTACGCTGAGTTGTAAAATGAAAGAAAAGTTACAGCTCCTGTGATTTTTGGTTGCAAACTTAACATGCCACTATGAAACAGAGAGGAAAGTAGCAAACATAATTCCACACTTGGCCCATAAAACGTCAAAGCTTGAAGCTATTGTCACTATTCCCCTGTTGAGAATGGTTACTTAAAAATTCCTGTCTGATGCAGTCTTTTCTAAAATCCAAATATTGAGTCTCAAAAAAAACCCTAATACATGGTTAGCTTGTGGACCACTAGGATCATTGTGGTCCCTTCTTGCCCATTTATTTGTCCCAATCCCCTGCTCTTTATGGCCTTGAGAGTGTTGAAATATTTGTTCTGTCTTAAACTGTTGTGCAATCACTTCATCATTTCTGTTCTAACCACATTTCCACTTTTGTAGATTACCTTACATTTCATATCTGAAATCCAAAGATAATATTGACATTTTTATGGGTACTATCATCCATTAAGCAATGTAATGAGTATGCTTTGTCTACATTAAGATAAGTCAACATAAATCTATACATGCTGGATCTAAGACCAGATCTGCAGAATTTATAAACAACCTCCTGCATCCCTCTTCTAGGAAACCAAAATCTTGGCCAATTTGCTAACTTTTATAAATGTGTTTTATCATCAAAGTATTTTAAGCCTGTTTTTCTGCACTTTTTTCCTAATTTTCTGGCATACAGAAAGGCATCTTCAGGAAGTCAAACCTAATAAAATACATTCTATCTTGTTAAACTGAATTTGTGAGTCTATTCTATGTAGCTCTTGTCTCTTCCTTTTTGGGTCAAGTATTCAACATTTTAACTGGCCTGATAGAATTTGATCATTACAGTCTTGGTGGTTTTTATCTGGAATTTATGTTTTTAGACCGTGGACATCTTGCCTGGATAACACAGAGAGAATATCTAGGTCTTTTTTTAGAATTACAGAAACTACAAGTGCAATGAAAGAGCTTTCTCTTTGGTTTGAAGGGCATTTGTAACCACTTACCCAGAGTTGAACTCATAAACAGATCTGCATAACTGGGGTGGTTAAAATAATAAATGTTCACCAGAAAAATGCTTCACAATTGTTTGACCTCTGATTATTGGAAAAATCAAACAGAAGCTACCTAGACCCTTGTTGTAGAAATGCTGTTCAAATTGCTTTATTTAATACTAGCTACCTCAAGAGCCTGATAATAGTGGTTTTTGCTCCTTCGTTTTTCTTGATCCGACTAATCCCTCAATTTCATAAAGAAACAGGAGCATATTAAAGAGATGTGCCCCATGTACAAATAATTTGTCACTGTTTCCATAATGAGAGAATCTTCTTCCAGTAAGATTAGTCAGTGAATTGTTTGCTCTTTAATAAAATATTTATGTTATCAAGTCTAAAATGCCCTCAGTATTGCAATATTTAAAGGAATTTCAAAGTGAGTAATTGCCAATGAGTGTCATGTAGGTTATTTTCCTTTAGCAATTACCTATTCTGTCAAAACTCTCGAAAGCAAGAATGTCATGCTTCTCCCTCCCCTCCTCATCTTCTTGCTTCAAATCGCTCCTCTTATTATGGGGAGTGAGGAAGGAATCCATCTTGGGCATTGGTGAATTTTCTAGTTCATACCTTACCTGTCCTATTGCAATGGCATCCAAGGTTCTGGCCTCACCTCCAGTTCCCAGACCCTTCAAACCACCCTGCATACCCTAAACAGAATTGACTTCCAGACACACAGATCTCAGGTTGTCAGCATGAGGACTATTTAGTGCCTTCGGTTCCAGCTCCCTCAGTGACAGGCAAGGCATTTCCCCAGCCCTACCTGGCCTCTCCTTCATTCAACAACTGTACCCTTCAGCTACTCAGATCCACCAGAATGGCTTCAAAGAGACTTAGCAGGGTTGATTAAGGATCTGGAGATGGGGAGATTTTCTGGGATTATCCAGATGCCCTCAAGGTGATCACAGGGTTGTTGAGAGAGGCACAAGGGTCAGAGAGAGAGAGGTGGCGTGACGACAAAAGCAGAGAGTAAGTAGGAGATGTGACAATAGAAGTTCAGAGAGAGCTGAATATGCTGCTGGCTTTGAAGATAGAGAAAGGGGCCATGAGCCAAGGAAACCAGGCCTCCTCTAGAAGCAGGAAATGGCAATAAAATGGAACTTACCTTTGATTCCCCCAAAAGAATTTCATCAGGAACCTTTTCTTGCTGTTAAATTGGGTTGCTAATTGATAAACTGTTCACGGATGATCATGACTTAAATATGTCACCTTTCACAGATATAATAATAACAACAATAGCTATGTATGATGTCATAGCAACATTGCAAGGTAAGTTTTATCCCAGATTAAAAATAGTAAAGTGGAGGCTCAAAAAGGATAAGAAAATTGCCCAAGTGATAGTGTGTGTTGGAGCAAAGGTCTTAATTTTGGTTTACCTAAGTCTAGAGTGTTCACCTTTCAGCAAGCCCATGCCATCTCTGTGGCTTACTGATGCTGTGGGTGTTTATTCCAACCACCACTTACTTTAGCAAGCTTTTCCTAGCACCCCCAGATGGATTTCTCCACCCGCTCCATTCAGCAGCTGCTATGCCTAGTACAGTACTTCTCTTAGGCACTCCCAGTATTTTATTGCTGTAATGGCTACAATCAATTCCTTCACCTCATTCTTCAAGGCTGAGACAGCATTTATTTTTTTCTTTATATTCCCTAGCCTCTAATTCAGTACCTGCAATGCCATAAGCAGACTAAAATGTGTAATAGAAGAAAAATGAATGAACGATAGAACATTTTACATTTTTGCAAAGTGTCATCCAAAAGCATGACCTATATGACATTCATTTTTTAAAGGAACCTGGAGAATCAACAATCTTTCTCTATCCCTTTCTGTAATCCAAAGTAAACTTAAAGTAAATTGAACCCAAATGGAAAATTCTACAGAACGAACACACAGGGATGCTAACATATTGCCACCAATCACTGTCATCTGTGTCGGGGACTCTGAATAACTTAGTCATAGTCCCTGTTCAACACAAGTGTGTGATCAAAATAAACAAAACTCAGAAAAAGATTTTTTTTTACATCTGCCTTTTTAAAATTGAGGTATAATTTACATACAGTGAGATGCTCAGATCTTAAATGTGTTCTTCAATAAGTTTTGATGAATGCAAATCAAGACAGAATACTTCTCCAGTCCCAGAAACTCCTTCCTGCCCCTTTCCAGCCATTTCCACATCCTCTTGCAAAGTAATCACTGATTTGATTTTTATCACCATGGATTACTCGTCTACGGTAGACTTCCATTTAAATTGAATCATATAGTGTCTCCTTTTTGCATCTGGTCTCTCTCAGCAAGATATCATTGAGATTCAACTATGGTTGTGTGTATTCATAGCTCATGCTCTTTATTGCTGAGTTGGATTCGGTTTTATAAACACAGCACAGTTTATGTTTACATTCTTCTGCTGATAGACACATCTGCGTGGTTTCCAGGCTCTGGCTTGTATGAATAAAGGTGCTATGAACATTCTTGTCCAAGGCCTTTTGAAGATATATGTCCAAGGCCTTTTGAGTTCATTTATCTTGGATATATACCTAGGAGTGGAATTGCTGGCAAATGTTGTAAACACCTATCTGCATTTTTAACAAATGAGGTATATTCCTTTAACTTTTCAAATGTTAAATAGATATATAAGTGATGATAACTGTACTGTGAAAGTTAGAACATCATCATAGTAGATTTAGTTACCACGTTTCTAGGGTCACTTTCCCTTGAAGCAGAGGCTGAGACAGGAATTCTTATGCAAGGAGTGAATTGAGGGAGTGCCCCAGCAGGAACATATTAGGCAGGAAGGGAAGCAAGTGAGGTAGGGAATAGTTAAGTAAAGAGGTGGTTTCAGATGAATTTCAGCCTTATTCTCATCCCACAGAAAGTTCTAGAGCATCTCATCTCAGGTAAGAGATACAGACCTTTGTATCTAAACATCAGTCAATCATTTGTTGAGGACAGCCCTGCTCCAGGGCTATGGGGTTTGCAAGTAGAAGTAGCCTCCCAGGTACCTCTGGGATGAGGAGGCTCCTGGAGAGTTGCGGGGGGTGGAGGTCAAGGGAAAGTCCCTGGAGAGGAGAACAGCTGTGAGCCATTAACAGCCAGCACACAGCACTGGGTGCATGGGAGCACCCGCCTGGTAAAAGGGTCTGAGCGGCCTCCAACCACGTCCACTGTACCAGCTCAGCCACTAGGAGACATAAATTCTCTTCATATCACAATTTACCTGCATATGTCCAAGGTAGAACAATCCATGCAAAGAAATGCACTCAGACTTCATGTGGAAAGGTCCACCCTTCAGGGCTCAGATCCAGTGACTCCAGTAGACAGTTAGATATTTGCCCAGGCTTAAGATAAGACTAAAATGTGCATGACTTCTCAGTGAGTTAAAAACTCAGCAGCAGCTGCCACCATTGAACGTCTGCCTGGTGACTTTGCACCACAGAGACAACGCAAGCTGAGATCCTCCAGCACTGGCCTGATTCCCTGTAGTGGCTTCTCACCCTGTGTCCTGGCAGGTCAGTCACTTCCGAATACAGAGATTTGCAGGCATGGTAGGCAGATGAGGAAGCACGTGACAAAAGGGAAATTTGTGTGCCTAAGAAGTCTCATTTTGTAGTAAAAGTGACCCCCTTCTCCATGACCCTGGTCTTTGGAGCAAGTGATGTCTTTCTTTAAGGAAAATTTTAATGCTAAATTGACAAAAAAAAAAGTGCAAACAAACCAGCAATGGTGGAGGGAGAAATAGGCAAGAGCCTTGGAATCTACCAGATGATCTTTTGACATAGTAGCTTTGCTTTCTGATGTGTTAATTGGAGAGCACATTAACCACTTGCCGAAAAAGAGAAGTGTCACTACAACATCAAATGCTTCCATGGCAACTCAGTGTCAAGATGTCTTTCCATGACCCCCACAGCACTTGGCACAAACAAAGCCCCATTCCAGCTTCTTGGTCTGAACTCCACTGTTCTGAAGGGTCTTATTCACAGCAGTACAAGGAGCTATTGTTCCACTTCTAAGAAATAAGATGGTGGTGGAAAGGAGAGCTGTTATTGCAAACTCATCATACTTTATTATTTCCATCAAAGGAAGAGAGGAAGTCCTCAGGCAGGCTTAGCTGAAATATTACAGGGGCTAAGAGGTGAACGTGAAAAACCTTTCATTTTAAGCGTGCAGCAGCTGCTGTGTACACTCAAAATATTGTGAGGAGGAACTTGCCCAAGAACAACCATGAAATTGAGCAACATTTATTAATCTCTGGTTATTTCTCCGTGGTTGTTCAGAAGCAAGCGGCTACAAGTTAATATTTAGGATCGTTCAAGGGGAATTGCCTCATATGTTGCAATTCCTCCCTAGTTTCCCCCAAAGAATAAAAGCACAAGAAAAATCCAGGATATTCATACACTGATAGAGAACAAGTTTCAAGAACTCTTAACTCTTTAAATTTTGACCAGTCTCAAACTAATATGACATTGATTTTGGCTATAAAAGCTATTCAATCCATTTGAAAACAGGTTCAAAGAATGTTTATGTCAGTAGCTAAACCGAGGTGAAAACAGGAAGAAATACTGAAAGTTCACTATTTCTCACATAATGCTCAGAAGAGAGAGTAAAATTGTTTGTGGATGCTGGAAAATACAGGGTAAGATGATAAGAAATGCTTCCGTTGGCTGACCCATTGAAAAACATGTTAAGGCTGACTTTTTGTTTATAGTTATTTATCAGTGATATCAGGCTTTCATATCCCTGGCCCTGAATATCCATCCAAGATGAATCACAGCATGCAACAGAAATATTATTACATTTCTAACTCAACAGTAGCCACATGTTATGTAATTAAAGCCCAAATAGATTCTTCAGTATGTCATCGTCAGTTTACTACCGGTAGTTAACCTATTGCAACAAAAGAAATCCATTTTGTTGTAAGTGACATTTTGAAAGAGAAATTGACTTTGAAAACAGATTTATTTAGCCTGCTAGAGCTTATCTTCAAGAACTTTGAACTCCCAAAACAAATTAGTTTAAGAATATAAACCACGGAGGATAGATGCATGTTAACATCCTCAGAGTCAAAAAACTATAAGCCTCTTCAAAACCTGAGTGAAAGATAGGTAGGCAAAAACACAAAAACACAGTTTTGGTGGTCCTGGCACATCACAAGCTGAAGCTAGATTTTCTCAGCAACTAAAAATAATAGGCATATCAATATAATAATGGTTATAACAATATTTATCTCTCCAGAATAATGTGAGATGATGCAAGAAGAGAAATCACTACTCAGTTCAAATATTCATTGTATCGTTCCTTTACTGCAACAAGTTCAGGGCTCAAGTTTTTAAAAATGAATATAGAAATATAAACACAAAGTGATATTTTTAAAAAGCTCTGTGCTGAAAGATTAATGATGGTAGAGGTGTTTTCACCTGGAAAAGTGAAGCTAGAAAAATGCCCTCCTAGACACCCTTGGATATTTGAAACAATATTACAAAGACACCACGTGAATTTCCTCTATATTTGCAAAGGAACAAACAAAAGAGAAAAGGTGAAAGTAGAGTTTGGGTAAAAATTATGCATATACTTTTTTCAATTTCAACAACTACGGTGGGCTAGCAAGGAAGACTGTGGGATTCTAGAGATCTTTAAAGTGGCTAGATAGAAATCAAGCTGGGTAGAAAACCATTTGAACCATCTTCCTTGAGTTCTGCTAAATACAGAAAACGTAAGAGAAATTTTGTGTTTGCCGTTACGGTAGTAGCCCCAGTGTGTGGTTTAGGGGAATCTATCTTCGTGGGCAGATCTCCCTCTTCCATTCCTTTTCATCACAAAGACAGAAATGGGAAGTTTAAAAGATTACTGAAATAGTTAAGACATTTTGCAATCGCAAAGAGGTATTCACATTTACTGTTCGAACTAAAATTATCATTGCAACTAATCAAATATAACCAAGAAAAATAACAATACCAACAAATGAAGGCAGTGTGAAGCCACTCAACACTGTAGTACTGGATTAATCATGTTGCTCTTTGAGAATTTAAAGCTTTTAATCATGTAGTGTTGCCTTCTTTGGTTAAAATTCGTGGGCACTTTACAGGTTTATTTGGGCCCCAGAGCCCCTTCATTGTTCACTAAGTACAGTGAAAACCAGTTCAGAATAAAGAAGAAAAATTAATGTTAAACTGAATAAAGGAGCTGAAAAGGTCAAACTGTGTTCCTAGGGTCAAAGAGTATGCCCACAGGTGGAAAAAAACATGGAAATCAAAATTAAATACAGAGCTATGCCGGCAAATTTGTGGAAGTAGTGAAATTGTCTGCAAATTGAGCTTCCAATGGTTCTGCATTACAAATCCATAATATGCATAAAGTATATTATGGATATATGTAAATGTATCCATAAGTAATGTATCCATAAATATATATATATAAATGTATGTGTAAGCCAGAATTTTATTTTTTTCTTGTAATCTAAACATCTTGAATTACCTATTCAATTATCTCTTCTCACGACCGTGCAGGGTAGGCTGCCTCAGAGACTCGTTGTCCACCCTGGACATAGAAACCTACCAGCAGGTATTAAAATGTTGCTATTTCGTAAGTATCCATTTTGTAGTTGAAAATAAAGTTAACAGAGTCCTAATATAATAAAGAAAATATTCTGTTTATTTAATCCTGATTTCAGTGCATCACAAATTAGTTTTAAAAGAAGGTTGATGCTATAATTTTACAAGTCACTTATTAATAAACACTAGGATATAGGAATGCTCCAGGAGATGGAGTTAGAAACACCAAATTCTGGGTATTCTTAAATGTTAAGGTCCACAAAGAACTCATTTGGTAGAAGAAGGGCATAATGTTCTAAGGAAATATTCTACAAAAACTACTCTGCAAGCCTATCCCATACAATCATCAGAAGTGGAAGGTCCAGGAACGAAGCCAAGGCCATGAAGCTTATAATAGTGTTTCACCCACCGTGCCAAGGCCCGGTGATACGAAGAGTCAGGGACTTTCTCAGCAGGCTTCATCATTCTCACCGCTTGCAAAGCAGAGAAAATCCTTCGATTGGCTCTGTTGCAGCCCTGGCTGTGTTTCCAGGTATCTTAGCTTTTCTTTCTTTCATACTTATTTACTGGGTTTCCAAATCTACTCAGCCTGAGAGTGCAAATTTCATTCTTTCCATTCATTGCTCCCCATAATTTTAACCTCTCCCTTTTCCAGATGAAAAGTCTCAGTAAAAAAACAGCTACTGAATGTGCAGCATTTGTCAGATGCCACTAGTCAACTCACTTCAGGTCGGGGTGCTGTGTTGGCTCCGTGTCTCTCAAGAGGAAATAAGTCAGTGGGGGCAGGTTGTGGGTTGGTGCCCAGCATAGCACCAGGTGACCACACACGCTCCTCCACCTCCAACTTATTAATGATCTCAAGCACTTCACACCATTTCTGCCCTTAAGCTTAGTTGAAGAATCAAAGATGAGTCTCAAGTTGGTAGTGGAAGTAGCAAACAAGGAAGGAGAGAAGGCCCTGAAATCACCTATCTCAGAAACCGCCAAGATTCTCACCTAAGGAGGATGATTATGTGTTTGTAAGAAAGAGGCCGGGCGCGGTGGCTCACGCCTGTAATCCCAGCACTTTGGGAGGCCGAGGCGGGCGGATCACGAGGTCAGGAGATCGAGACCATTCTGGCTAACACGGTGAAACCCCGTCTCTACTAAAAATACAAAAAATTAGCCGGGCGTGGTAGCGGGCGCCTGTAGTCCCAGCTACTCGGGAGGCTGAGGCAGGAGAATGGCGTGAACCCGGGAGGCGGAGCTTGCAGTGAGCCGAGATCGCGCCACTGCACTCCAGCCTGGGCGACAGAGCGAGACTCCGTCTCAAAAAAAAAAAAAAAAAAGAAAAAAAAAAAGAAAGAAGATGGTTTAACCTTTAGCCTATTTTCAGTGGTTGGCTTGGTTTTGCACACACATTCACACACACATACACATACGTTCATGCACACACCACAGCATACATTTATAAGCCAAAGGCCCTCTAAAATAAGTCAGTTGGGAATCATGATGGAGATGTGAATAATAGAAGAAAAAATGATTATGCATCCCGGGCAATCCAAAAGGTTCCTGTTCATTTGGAAATATTTTAAGATGTCAGGGCTGAAAGGCACCATGCTCTTTGAATAAATGAATTGGTCTCCTGGCGTTGTGTCTATGGAAGCTATAGTTATTACTACTCAGACAGCTGACTTTTTGTTTTAATTATGCAACAGAAACTGGAAAAATGTTTGGGGTCAACTTTCTATTTTAGTGACTGCCCCTGTCAGTCGATGCTGTTAAAACGACCACGCGTTTGTTTTGGAAGAAATAATTTATTCAAAATATATTCCTGCATTTAGCTCTTTCCAAATAAAAGAAAGCATGTATGTGACTGTGTGAGAGTGCTCTCAGGTGTCAATACATAGAAAAGGAGATGTTTTTTAGCACAAAAGGCCACAGGAATAGCTGCCAGGCTGATCACGACTATAAATCAGTGTTGAAATATTTCCTATAACTTAAAGAGTATGTAAACTGGAGTTGCTGAATGGGTCTCCCAAATTTCAAAGAGCTCCTTTATTTTTATCTGCAGGAGCAGTATTATTCCCACTTTTGGATCTTGGAAACGTTCTCCCGTGTGTGGGCTTATGCAAATGAGATTTTGCAAAGGTGCCTCTCTGCGCACACAAATACCAGTCCCCAATCCACTGGAACACAGGGAATAAAAGCACAATTTGGAATCAGAAGAAGTCAGATAGAAATAAACCGAGCCCTTCCACTCACCAGGGACATAGTCCATGCCATTTTCCAGCCAGGATTATCCTGAGCCTCTCAGAATGGCAGTGCATTGCAGCTTTTTACCATGCAAACAAACCCCATGATTCTTTGCACATCCTCACTACCAGCAAAATCCCTTTGACTAAATTGACTGCTCAAATTATGTGCCCCAAAGAGGCACAGATTCAAACAAGCACCCGTGCCAGCCCTGTAGTCTTCTCTACCATTAAAGAGTATGAAATGGATAAATCAGGCAAAACACCAGCCTAGAGGGAGAGACTTAGATATCCAGAAATTTACGATGAGCATCCCTGTAGTTAAACGAATAGCTTTCACCATTGACATTTTTAACAGTTTTATGGCAATATAATTGACATACAATAAACTGTACATATTTAAAATGTACAATGCAGTACTTCTTATCACGTGTAATCATCCGTGAAATCATCACAATCAAGTTATCACCCCAAATTCTCCTCAGGTCCCCTTTTAATCTTCCCTCCCACTGCTCTGCGTTCCCAACCCCATCCTATGATTTAGGACATTGATCTGTCAAGCAGGCTGAGCAAGTTGTTCTGCCAGAATGCCCTACCTTGTGGATTTGACTGGCTGCTGCTTCATGGACCCAGTTAGCTTATTCCTCTGTCTTGCATGTTTCCATGAAAGGTACAGTTCCATGGTACGAATTTCTGATGGATTCACGGTACGCAGTTTGGGCTAAATACAACATATATGTTTCCCATTGCATCATGTCAAAGACACTTAATATCGTATTGACCCAACTACTTCTGTTTTTACTCTCTCTGACACTAGGTTTTATTTCTTGTTTTGTTATTCTTTGTTATTATTTGCTTTTCATTTATTTTGTTCTTAAAGGTTACATATAGGCCAAGCACAGTGGCTCATGCCTGTAACCCCAGCACTTTGGGAGGCCGAGGTGGGGGAATCACTTGAGGTCAGGAGTTTGAGACCAGCCTAGCCAACATGATGAAACCCTGTCTCTACCAAAAATATAAAAAATAGCCAGGCAGGGTGGTGTGCGCCTGTAATCCCAGCTACTCAGGAGGCTGAGGCAGGAAAATTGCTTGAATCCAGGAGACAGAGGCTGCGATGAGCTGAGATCATGCCACTACACTCCAGCCTGGGCAACAGAGTGAGACCCTGACAAAAAAACAAACAAACAAAAGGTTACATACAAAAAAAATCTAGTTACATGACTATGAATATTAGTTGGTTTGTCCTAAAGGGGCTTTTAACTTTACCTCTATCACAAAATATTTTTATACCCACCTTA
Organism: Homo sapiens; assembly: GCF_000001405.40. Taxonomy (NCBI): domain Eukaryota; kingdom Metazoa; phylum Chordata; class Mammalia; order Primates; family Hominidae; genus Homo; species Homo sapiens. The sequence goes on from NC_000010.11 coordinate 10,669,084, forward strand.
TTCACACCTTGCTGAGGAGAGAGGCAGCTCAGTAGTGGTTTGGTGGCAGAAGTGGATTTGAACTGAGATTCTCAGGTTGAAAGCAGTGTGACCCTAGCTAATTGACTGTTCTTCTCTGAACTTCCATTTCTATGCCTACAAAATAGAGATTAAAATGTCAGCCAAAACATCTGAAAGATTGGTTGTATAAATCAAAGAGAGAATATATGTGTTGCTATTTTATGAAGAGTAAACTCCTAGTCAAATAAAATGTTTTATTATGCTGATGTTTTCTGAGATTAGAAAGAATCCTAGAATTATACTGCACAGGTGGAAGAATTGAGACAGAGAGAGACCAGGTGACATTACAGAACTGGAGAGCAGAACGTCAGCTGCTTGGTTCCCACCTGACTGCATTGTCAGAAGCTAACTGGCATCATTTTATTCCCAAACTATTCATAACACATTCTTTCTAAAGAAGATGTGCAGATTCGGATTCTAATATGTAATTTGCCATGACTCCCTGGGAGCCAGGACCCAAATGCATAAGGGGATAAAAGCCTACAGGTCTATCATCTGCTATCACTCCTTAAATGCAATCTGCAGGCCACCCCAGCTGGATTAGTCATTTTCACAATACATCCTATGCTTTACTGACACTGCTAACGCTCCCTCTTCATGATATCTTCGTTTATATTCACAAGATATTATTCCCTGTCCCTCTGAATCCTGGAGAATTTTAATTTCTTAAAGAGCTTACACACTTTTCATAGTATTATTGCTTTTTGTGTTTGATTGCATGCTTCTTGTAGGAAGGGACTGAGTCTCTTATATGCCTTTTTTTTTTTTTTTTTTTTGAGACGGAGTTTTGCTCTTGTCACTCAGGCTGGAGTGCAATGGTGCAATCTTGGCTCGCTGCAATGTCTGCTTCCCAGGTTCAAGCGATTCTCCTGCCTCAGCCTCCCAAGTTGCTGGGATTACAGGCAAGCGCCACCATGCCTGGCTAATTTTTGTATTTTTAGTAGAGACGGGTTTTGCCATGTTGGTCTGGCTGGTCTCAAACTCCTGACCTCAGGTGATCGGGCCACTTTGGCCTCCCAAAGTGCTGAGATTACAGGCGTGAGCCATCGCTCCTGGCCTCTTACATGCTTTAAACATAGCATATGCTCAACATATATTTGTTGAATTAAACTCAACTGATTTTCAGCCCCAATCTGAGTTTCCAACAAGAGTCATAACACCCTTATTGATTGTCCAGCCTAGCTGCAAACATCAAACAAAACATAACACTTACCAGTTGACCAAGTTCTGTTAAAAAAAATTAACAAAATGAAAATAAGGTTATTCGTACTTAGACTTTTTTGAGATTTTATTTTTAGACCAGTTTTAGATTCACAAGAAAATGGACAAAAAGGTACAAAGAATTCTCATAGATCCCTGCCCCCTGCCCCCACATTTGCATAGCCTCCCACATTATCAGCATCCCCAACCAGAGTGGGGCATTTATTACATTCAGTGAACCTAGATTGACACATCATTATCAACCAGAGTTTGTAGTTTACATAAGGGCTCACTCTTGGTATTGTACATTCTATGGATTTGGACACATGTATAATGACATGTATTCATCATTATAATATGAGTGGTTTCACTGCCCTAAAAATCTGTGATCTGCCTATTCATCTGTCCCTCCCCTCTAACCCTTGACAACCACACTAATCTTTTTACTGTCTCCATAGTTTTGCCTTTTGCAGAATGTCATAGTTGAAATCACAGTCTGTAGCCTTTTCAAATTGGCTCCTTTCACTTAGAATTATATACTTATACCAAGTGCAATGGCTCATGCCTGTAACCTCAACACTTTCAGAGGCTGAGCAGGTGGATCACTTGAGCCCAGAGTTTGAGACCAGCCTAGGCAACATGGCAAAACCCCATCTCTACAAAAAATAAAAACATTAGCCAGGCACGGTGGCATGTACCTGCAGGCCCAGTCACTTGCGGGGTGAGGTGGGAGGATTACCTAAGCCTGGGAGATTGAGGCTGAAATGAGCTGTGATTGCACCACTGCACTCCAACCTGGGTGATACTGTGAGATCCTGTCTCAAAAAAAAAAAAAAAAAAGAGAAAAGAATTATCTGTCTCAAAAAAAAAAAAAAAAGAATTAGGCACCTAAATTTTCTCCATCTCCTTCCATGGCTTGACAGCTTATTTGCTCATTTTAGTACCAAATCCTTCTAAATAATTGTCTGGATCTCACAGTTTATTTATCCATTCACCTACTGAAGGACCTCTTGTTGCTTCTGACAATTGTGAATAAAGCTACTATAAACATTTGTGTGCAAGTTTCTGTGTAGACATAAGTTTTCAGTTCCTTTGAGTAAATTCCAAGGACTGTGATAGCTGGATCACATAGAAAGAATGTGTATAGTTTTGCGGGAAACTGCCAAAATGTCTTCCCAAAAGAGCTGTATTATGCCACATTCCCACAAGCAGCGAATGAGAGTTCCTGTTACTCACATCCTCACCAGCATTTGGTGTGGTCAATATTCTGGATTTTGGCCATTCTAATAGGTGTACAGGTGTATCTCCTTGTTGGTTTAATTTATGTTTTTCTGATGACTTATGGTGTGGTGAATCTTTTCAAATGCTTATTTGCCATCTGTATGTCTTTTTTTTTTTTTAATTGACACAGAGTCTTGCTCTATTGCCCAGGCTGGAGTGCAGTGGTGCAATCTCAGCTCACTGCAACCTCTGCCTCCCGAGTTCAAGTGATTCTCCCACCTCAGCCTCCTGAGTAGCTGGGATTACAGGCATACGCTGCCACACTTGGCTAATTCTTGTATTTTTAGTAGAGATAGGCTTTCCCCATGTTGGCCAGGCTGGTCTTGAACGCCTGACCTCAGGTACTCCACCTGCCTCAGCTTCCCACAGTACTGGGATTACAGGTGTAAGCCACCGTGCCCAGCCTGTATGTCTTCTTAAGTGAGATGTCTGTTCAGGCATTTGGCCCATTTTTTAACTGGGTTGTTTATTTTCTCACTGTTTAGTTTTAAGAGTTCTTTATATATTTTATATAGTAATCCTTTATCAGATGTGTCTTTCACAAATATTTATCGCCGGTCTGTGACTTGCCTTTTTATTCTCTTGACAGTGTCATTCACAGAACAGAAATATTTAATTCCAATGAAATCCAGCTCATCTAATATTCCTTTCAAGGTTCCCGCCATTTGTGTCACACTCAAAAAGTCATTGCCAAATCCAAGGTTATCTAGATTTTCTCCTATGTTATCTTCTAGGAGTTATATAGTCATCTAGATTTTCTTCTATGTTACCTTCTAGGAGTTTTATAATTTTGCATTTTGCATTTAAGTCTGTGATCCATTTTGAGTTTTTTCTGTGAAGGGTAGAAGGTCTGTGTCTACATTCCTTTTTTTTTTTTTTTAATTGCATATGCATGTCTAGTTGGTCCGGCACAATTTGTTAAAAATATTATGTCTTCTCCATCTCATTGCCTTTGCTCCATTGTCAAAAATCAGTTGCTATGTTTATGTAGGCCTATTTCTGGAATCTGTCTTCTGGTCTATTGATCTATTTATTTATTATTTTACCAATACTATAGAGTCTTCTTTATTGTAGCTTTATAGTAAGTCTTGAAGTTTGTAGTATCAGTCTACAAACTTCATTCTTGTTCTTCAATAATGTGTTGGCAATTCTGGGCCTTTTTCCTATGTATATAAATTTTAGAATCAGTTTGTCAATATCTACAAAACAACTTGCTGAGATTTTCATTGTGTTTGCATTGAATTTGTAGATCAAGTTGGGAAAAACCGACTTGCCAGTATTGAGTCTTCCTGTCTATGAATATGGAATATCTCTTCATGTATTTAATTATTATTTGATTTCTTTCAACAGAGTTTTGTAGTTTTCCTCATATAGATCTTGTATGTATTTTGTTAGATTTATTCCTAAGCATTTTTTTTTGAGGGCACTAATGCAAATGGTATTGTGTTTCTAATTTAAAATTTCACGTATTCATTGCATAGGAAAATGACTCCTCTATATTCACTTTATATAACTTTACCATAATAATCGCTTACTAGTTTCAGGAGTTTGGGGTTCTGTTTTTGTTAATTTTTCAGATTTTCTACGTAGACTACCATGTAATGTCCAAACAAATTTGTTTCTCCTTTCGCTATCTGTATGTATTGTCTTTTCTTTTCTTATTGCACTAGCTAGTATTTCCAGTACAATGTTGAAAAGCAGTGGTGACAGGGAACATCCTTGCCTTGTTCATGATCTTAGTGAGATCTGAAGTAATAAACCCTTTTTCATTTCTGATACAGTAATTTGTGTTTTATCTCTTTTTTCCTTGGTTGGACTCACTAGGGCCTTACCAATTTTATTATCTCTTCAAAGAACCAGCTTTTGGTTTTGTTGATTTTCTTTATAGAGTTTCTATTTTCAATTTCATTGACTTCTGTTCTAATTTTTATTATTTCTTTTATTCTACTTACTTTGGATTTAATTTCCTCTTCTTTTCTTAGTTTCTTACAGTAGAAGCTGAGATAATTGATTTTAGATCTTTCTTATTCTCTAACATATGCATTCAATGCTATAAATTCCCCTCAAAGCACTGATTTCGCTGCATCCCACACATTTTGATAAGCTGTGTTTTCATTTTCATTTGGCTCAAAATGTTTTTTAAATTTCTCTTGGACCTATATGTTTTATAGAAGTCTATTTTTTAATCTCCACATAGCTTCTGATTTTCCAGCTCTCTTTTATCATTGATTTCTAATTTAACTCCATTGTGGCCTGACAGCAGATATTATATGATTTCTGTCTTTGGAAAATTGCTAAGCAGTGTTTTATAGCTCAGAATATTGTCTGTCTTTGTGAATCTTCCATGTCAGCTTGAGAAGAATGTGTATTCTGCTGCTCTTGGATCAAGTAATTTATAGATGTCCATTATATCCAGTTGATTGACAGTATTGTTGAATTCAGCTTGTCCTTACTGATTGTATGCCTGCTGGATCTGTGAATTGCTGATAGAGGGGTATTAAAGTCTTTAACTATAATCATGGATTAATTTATTTCTCCTTGCAGTGCTATTGGTTTTGCCTGGTATATTTTCATGCCCTGATTTTAGGCACCTACACATTAAGAACCATTGTCTTCTTGGAGAATTGATCCCATTTTTATTAGTTAATGTCCTTCATTATCCTTGATAATTTTCCTTTGAAGTCTGTTCTTTTTGAAATTCATACAGCAACTCCTGCTTTCTTTTGATTAGTGTTAGCATGGTATATTGTTCTTTATCCGCTTACTTTTAATCTGTATATATCTTCATGTTTAAAGTGAGATTCTTGTAGAAAACATGCAATTGAGTCTTGTTGTTTGATCCACTATAACAGTCTGTGTTTTCATTGCTGCATTTAGATCACTGGCATTCAAAATCATTATCAATATAATTGGATTGCTGTCTACCATATTTGTTACTATTTCCTTTTTGTTGCTATTGTTCTTTGTTCCTACTTTTTCTTCCACTTCTTTTCTGCATTTTGTGGGTTTAATTGAGGATTTGATATGACTCTATTTTCTCTCCTTTCTTAGAAGATTAGTTATACTTTTTTTCTTACCTTATTAGTGGTTGCCTTAGAGTCATTAATTTCAAAAAGAATAACAAATTCAAGCCCTCTTTCAAATAACACTGTGCCACTTGTGTGAGTGTGCCACTTGTGTGAGTGTGCCACTTGTGTGAGTGTGCCACTTGTGCCAGTGTGAATACCTTATAATAACAAAACAATTCTAATTCCTTTCTCCCATCCCTTGTACCATTGCTGTCATTTATTTCACTTATATGTATATAGAAGCATACACACACAGAGGTATATACACACAAACACACACACAAGCATACATAGTTGAAATTGTTGTTGTGATTTTGAACATACTGTTACCTGTTAGATAAAAAAATAAGAATAAATGTTTTTATTTTACCTTTTTCTTTTTTGATGTGCTCCCTTTATTTATGTGGATCTGAGTTCTGACTTACGTTATTTTATTTCTCTCTAAAGTAGTTCTTCTAATATCCCTTGCAAGACAGATCTACTAGCAACAAATTCCCTCAATTTTTATTTTTCTAAGAAAGTCCTTATTTCTCCCTCACTACTGAAAAATAACTTCACAGGGTATAGGAGTCTAGGTTGCTGGTTTCTTTCTCTCAACACCTTAACTGTTTCACTTGACTCTTTTTTTGCTTGCGTGGTTTCTGAGAAGTCAGAGGTGAATCTTTTTCCTTCCATAGATAAGCGGGGGTTTTTTCCCTTTGACTTTCAGAATTTTCTTCTTTATCTTTGATTTTCTTTTGTTTGAAAATGAAAGGCCTAGGTGTAGTTCTGGCATTTTTGTTGTTTAGTGTTCTCTGAGCTTCCTGGATCTGTGGTTTGGTGTCTGACATAAATTTAGGGAATTTTTCAGCTATGTTTCAAGTATTTCTTTTTCTCTTTCTTTCCCTTCTTATTTCTTTTTACACATTTTATGTCTTTTTTTTAGTTTTCCTATAGTTCTTGAATATTCTGTTTTTATCAGTCTTTGTTCTCTTTGCTTTTCAGTTTTGGAGGTTTTTATTAAGATATTCTCAAACTCAGAGATGTTTCCTCAGCCACCTCAGGTCCTCCAATAAGCCCATTAAAGGCATTCTTCCATTTCTGTTACTGTGTTTTTGATCTGTGGCATGTCTTTCAGCTTCCTTCTTAGGATTTCCATCTCTTTTCTTACATTTTCCATCTGTTTTGATATGCTATCTACTTTCTTACATAGATTGCTTAGCATATTAATCACAGTTGTTTTAAATTCCCTCTCTGATAATTCCAACTTCCCAGTATGTTTGGTTCTAATGCTTGCTGTATCTCTTCAAACTGTGCTTTTGCCTTTTAGTATGGCTTGTAATCTTTTCTTGGTAGCTGGAGATGATGTACTGGGAAGAGGAACTGCTGGTGGTAGGCTTTAATAATGTAGTGGTAAGGTGTGGGGGAAGGAGAAGCATTCTGTGGCCTTATAATTAGGTCTCAGTCTTACAGTGAGTTTGTGCCTCTGAACTGTGAAATTTCCAAGTGTTTCTCATTTTATTTCTCCTTCCTTAGGTGAGACAGGATGGCTGGAGTGGGCTAGAGTTGAGTTTTTTCCTTCTCCCACCAGAATGCCACAGTGGGCTGGAAATGGGTATTTCCCTCTCCCATGGGGAAGTCCACACAGCTGGGTAGAGTTGAACTTTTTCCCTTCTCCTGGGTCAGTGGCGCTCTGATAAAACTCTAGCACATTAGACCGTGGTTAACTAGCTTTTCCTAAGGGTAGACTTTGTTTAAAAGAACAGAGTGATCTGGTGTGTTTCAAAAATGGTTCCTTGGCCTCTCCCCATGCCAGAAGCAAAGCACCAAGAGATTTTTCTCTTACATTCACTGTGAGGATCTGGTCAAGCTCCTGCAGGTAAAATTCACAAAAGTGTGATGGGGTTCCCCTAGAGCTTTTGGTTCTCAGGCTTGTTCACACCAAGCCTCCAGTGAGTTGCCAGTTACAGTTCCAGTTTTCCTACCCCAGCACTGGTTCCATGGAGGTTTCTGCTCCTGTAGGTTCTGATTTTTTTTGTGTCTGCCTATGATGTGTTTCCAGTTTGGAGGGCAGAGGTTTGTCCTGTGAACCTACTTCTTTTACAGATCTAAGAAGAGCTGTTGTCCTGCATTGTTTTACTTGTTATTAGGGGGGAGTGACAGCTTCCACACTGGCTAAGTATGGAACCAGAAACAGACAGTACTTTTAGACTCTTAATAACCAAGAATGCCAAATTATTTGGGGAATTAAATTAAACCTGTCTTTACAATCATTCATTATTCTAAGGGCTAGATGAACTAAATACTTAACCTTTAATTGCCTCCATTTATTAACAATGTAAAGTCTTTTAATATGGTCCAAAAAAGCAGACCAGTTCAGCCCAGCTGCTCATGGTTTTACTTGACAGCTGTAAAATAATGAGGGCTATAGCAATGTATAGTCTGCAGAGAGAAATCAGCCAAGATTATTCTCTGGGGACATTAGAATATACAGTTACAGGATGTTAATAAAATACTTTGGAGGTTCACATCATTTACATAGAAACCAAGTAAGTACCATTTATACACTGACTGAGTGGGTCTTACGCTTGTGGACAGAGCCTTTGGCTACACCCTTTTCTACTGGGTCATAGAATTTATGGCTGCTAAAAGGTCCTGGCATAAACCCATGAATTGAATGGTGATAGCAGAAACCAACTGCCCCTTTTGGAAAGGTAGAAGCAGTTCTGACTGTTGAGGTTTGGACCACAGGGCAAATAAAGCTTTGTATTTCTCTAAGATTCTCTGAGACGGTCACAATCAGAATTATTTAGGTACTTATTGAAAAATGCATATCCCTGGGGCCCCAATACTGAATATTGAATCAGTGTCTCTAGAGTGGGACCCAGAAATCAGAGTACCTGCAAATTCCACTGAATGATTGTCAACACACGTTAAGATTTGAGATCCTCCATTAGTGTAGCCAAGCTCTCCTTGAAACCGCATGCGGTAGTGCCACCCAGTGGTTTGTTCTCTACAACTGTGCTCTTTGCTTGGAAGCAGCCTCATGTTTATTGTTTTACATGCTCAAAGATGGCTGACTCAGGCTTTGGGGGAATCCTAGCTGTTCTCTGCTAAGCAATGAAACAAGTTGCCACAGGGTCAATTTGATTGAGTTGCTCAGTTGGCAAGAACAAGCCACTAATCAATAAGACTAGCCTGATTATTTAGGACTATATGAACAATGGAATCAGATGAAGGCAAGTAATGCAATTGCCAGGAATTGACTTGTGACAGTCAATCTGGGTGACTTTTGAAAGACAGTCACTTTATAACATGACCTAGTAAGTTACCATCTTTAGTGTATATGTATTACTCTGCCTGAGCAGACTACTGGTGCAAGCCTGTGACAAAACTCTCTGCTTCTTTGGCATATTCTGACTATTCTACTCAGTTAGCTGTCTAGCCATCTTTATAATCTTTTTCTCTTTATTGCCTGTAAAATTACTTTATAGGAGATACTTATGGATCCACACATCTAGCAAAAATTATTTCCAAATTGTGTTTTAGGTTTGTTTGATTGTTTTATGGTCAAGAAATTATATCTGATATTTTAAGAAGTTAAATGAACATTTAAAATTGTTTTGCCTTACTGTGACCGTATTACAGCATCTATATTTCAGGCAGTAATCAGATTTGTCAGATAGTAAGCACTGGTGACTGCTAAAGTTCAATGATCTGGCTGTAAAGAATTATGTTATTTTGCAGCTGGTCTTTGCTACCTGAAAGATGATGGTGGTCTTTCCATGGAACAGCACTGCACAAGGTGCACATAGGAGGCTTGGTTACATAAACATGGTTGACCATCTGCAGGGCTGATCTTTGATTCCAGCCTCACCAAAGTCAATGTGTTAGTGCACGACCCAAGGCCCCACAGTGTAGATATGCAATGACGGCCAAAAGGCCAGAAACTGCACCAAATGCATCTCTGTGAGTGAAGGAGATTGACTGTTGATAGGGTTGAATTTTGCTTGTGATCAATCCATTAAAAACTGTTTTAAGCACACAGCATTCCCAGAACTTGGATAGGTGATTAAATAGGGGGTGAGATCCCAGTTCCTGTTCATGGAGGAAGTTATAGTTCTCTGTTAGGATCCTTTTGGAATCTACTGGGGATCTGAGCTTTCGAAGTCATTTAACCTGCACAAATGGGGTTTATGCTGCTACAATGAGGTCAAAATAAGATGAAACAAATACTCCATTCCAGGATACACATATAAACAGTAGAACAGAATTTCTAAGTCTCCAGAAAAGAGCAAATAAAACAAATCAAAACCAATATTCCCTCACATGGCCAGGGGAATTGTGATTATGGTCCTTGAACAACTAAGCTAAAATAAAGGGATTTCAGGAGAGTTTTGTTTATCTCCACCCCCTACTTTAGCATATTGTTGTAAAAAGCTAAAATAATACTTGTTTATTTATAAGCTGGTGGCTATAATTTATCAAGAATGGTAGGAGATGGTGCAGTATGATATATCTCCAATTTGAATTCATTTTAGTGACTGCTCTCTTCATGAAAAATAGGCAGTAGCCCCTGAGTAATAAGACTAAGGACAAAATGGTAATCTTTTCTTATGTTTTGTTTTTTGTTTTTGTGACAAAGTCTCAATCTCTCTACCAGGCTGGAGTGAAATGATGTGATCTCGGCTCACTGCAACCTCCACCTCCTGGGTTCAAGCCATTCTCCCGCCTCAGCCTCCCAAGTAGCTGAGAATACAGGCACCCTCCACCATGCCCGGCTAATTTTTGTATTTTTAGTAGAGATGGGGTTTCACCATGTTGGCCAGGCTGGTCTCAAACTCCTGACCTCAAGTGATCCGCCAGCCTTGGCTTCCCAAAGTGCTGGGATTACAGGTGTAAGCCACCATGCCTGGCCCTATGTTTTACTTTTAAAAACCTTTTTTATCATGAAAAAATTTGAACATACCCAAAAGAACACCAGGATAATGAACTCTCATATATCCATCTAGTTTCCACAATTATCAACACAATATTGACATTTCAAAATAAAACTGTTACTTATATTACTCTTTTAAATGTATTCAGTAGATACATGGCACATGGTGATACACATTGCTGTCCATTGAAAAATACACGATAAATACATGAATGTTACATTATTCCTTTTTCTCCTTCAATTTAGAATGGTAATCTCTGGTATAGGTGAATGCTTCAGTTGCTGCACTGAACCTTGTGTGAATGTGTGTGAATATCTTCCTCTACAGGGAGTTTTTCCTCTTTATTAAAATACTGAGATATTATAAATACAGAAGAGTATATAAAATGTATATTTACGGGTTAAAGAATAATGATACGTTAATACTCATTTAACCACCACCAGATCAAGAATCATTAGCATTCTCGAATCAACATGCTATCCACTCCCCAAAACATGCACAAAACTCGGGTAGCATGATTTGTATGTATGTACGTATGTATGTATGTATGTATGTATGTATGTATGTGCGTATGTGTATAAACAAATAAAAAAATGTATATACACTGCAGAGTTTGGGAGTCCCCAAGACCACCCCCACTTCTGACACCAGTTGCAAGTTTAGGGATCCCCAAGACTACCTTCAGGTTTGAAAATTTTCTAGAAAGATCACGAAACTCACTAAAGTGCTCATACTCAACAGTTTTGGTTTATTATAGTGAAAGGATGCAGATTAAAATCAGCCAAGGGGAGGGGCACATGGGGCAGGATCCAGGACAGTTCCAAGAGCGAGGCTTCTAGTAATCCTCTCCCACTGGAGTTTTGCAGACAGTGCTTTCTTCTCCCAGAAACATGATGTATGACAATTTGTATGCTATAGGCCAACCACAGAAGCCCACCAAGCTTGTTGTCCAGAGTTCTTATTAGGGCCCAGTTACATAAACACGTTGACTATATGCAAGGCCTTTGTCTCCAGCTTCACCAAAAATCACTTGGATAGCGCGTGGCCCAAGGCCTCTGACATAAATCACATTGTTAGCATAGCCTATCTGGTGCAGTCCAAGAGGCCCAGGTAAACAGTGACACTCATATCAAACAGGACATTCCAAGAACTTAGCCATGATTTCCCAGGGCGAAGGGAAAAGGCCAGAGCTCTCTTTTAGCAAGGTTAATTGTTTACTACGTATATATGAATAGGTATGTTTATGTGTTTATATCTTTTCATTAAAAATATAGTTTGGTTGTGTCCATTTTTCAATTTCATATAAATGCTTAAGTATTATTTGTATAAGTTACAGAAATATGTAGACATTTTTAGTTTCATGTAAATTCCTCATGTAAATAATAATTAGATATATACTTAAATATTTTGATTTGCTTCTCTCAAGGGTTTTTATTTATTCTGTATTGAATTAATGATCTAGATATTCTTATCAAATATTAAGAATAAAGTCTTATCAGATGAAGAGTAGAACTGATGAGTATCTAAAGTACAGCAATGAATTCAGCCTAGGACTTCCAGCACAGACAGCTAAGGACTCCATTTATTCATGTTTATATCCCTCATAGTCTGCTGTGAGTGACCTATGGGCCCCAGGACAAAATACAGTTCTTTTTATTTTAATGGTCTGAAAAGTTAGCATTCACCTACCTTATTGATCAGCGTCAGTTGTTAGGGTCTCATCACATTATCTGCCTCCAAACCTCCAACCGAGATGAAATCAATGACTGCCCAGGTCAGGGGTTAGTACACTTTTCTAAAAGGGCCAGGTTGTAAATATTCTAGGATATGCAGGTCATACCCTCTCCATTCCAACTACTCACCTACTGTCCTCATAGAGTGGAAGGAGCCACAGACTATATATAAACAAGTGCGTATGGCTGTGCTCCAGAAAACTTTATTGGTCCCCAGTGAAATTTTAATTTCATAAAATTTTCACATGCCATGAAATAGTGCTGTTCTTTTGATTTTTTTTAACCATTTAAAAAAGTAAAAATGATTCTTAGCTCACAAGTCAGAGGCTAACAGGCTAGATTTGGCCCATGAGCTACAGTTTGTCAAGTCCTAGTCTAGGTTCATGAATTCAAGGATTCTAGAATGAAGATCAGGTTTTTCATTTATAATAGCATATTCCTCCCAGCTCCTAATTCATCAATCTTACACCACTGACAACCATGAAAATGAATTTTAACTCATATAAAACCCATTTTGGAACCAAGTTTGTTTGTATTGCTTAGCTAAAACATAAAAAAGCTTACGTGTAGTAAATGGATTTCAGTAAACATTTGACCCAAACAACTGGCTAATGTTCTAGATTTTACCATCAAAATAAAACAGATTAAGAGATTTCCAGAATAATCCTCTGACATTAAGTCTCTAGACAGAATTTCTGTGGCAGAAGAAGGGCTTGAATTTCCTTCTTTACCTCTCATTCAATTGATATGGTAAAATAGAAGGTAGCCAACAGGTATCAAAATCCTCAATGTAATATGGACCACCCCGAGTAAAATCTTATTTGCGTAGATGTAGTAGAAATCAAAAATCAATTAATGCAGCAATATTATTTTACTCTGACGGGGAACAACAAGCCTTCCACAAGTAAATTTCACTTCTGCATTCACTGTAGGTCGGTGAGCACAATGAGAAATTTACAAGAGCAAATGACACAAAATTAATCTCAGTTGTTACCCATTGCTTCACCGTTTTTCTTAAAGAACAATTTTTTGAAAAATTACATGTTAGCATAGAGCATGTTTCACAAATTGGAGGACTGTGCTTCATTACTTCTATTTTCTTCATATTTAGGTCTACAGAGCTACACAAAGGAGTGATCCGGCCCATCAGGTAAGAGCTTGCTTCTTGCGCAGACTGAAGGTGTTCCGTTTGAAGAGCACCTGCTAGACAAGTAGTGAGGGTGGTTTATTCCCTTGGCTTTGGTTTTCTGCTTTTTGTCGTTCCTGGGATATAAACATTTCTCTTGTTTCTCTTTGCATTTTTTTTTTCTTCTGGATTCAGTTTACTGTTGAATCTGATCCATTGTCTCTTTGGATCACATTTACATAAGAGCCTACCTGTTATTGGATATCAGCATTCCTGGATGACTGTTTGATTGCACATTTCTGTATTACGATCGCTTTTGTTCTATTACTAGGTGTTTTCTTGTGTTTTCCCCCAAAACGTCGGCTTCTTTGTAAAAAGTATTTTGAGTAACAGTATTAGGAGACTGTTCTGAAACTGAATTCTATGGGTCTGTTTTGAGAATGGAAGCAGTCAGCTGTATATGAACTCCATCACTCCTGGATTGACAACATGGACCAGCAAGCCCCCAGTGCCACACTCACAGAACGCAGCAAGACCCTGTGAAAACAGATCACACTTGCTTTCTCTTTTCTCTAATTTCAAGTATCAAAATAGCACCCAAATTTAAGAGAATAATTAATTTGCCCTCTTAAATAATTTAACACGGGACATTTTCCCTACTATAGTATTTCAATATCCAGGGGCAAAGAAGACATGAACAGCGTAAAGGCAGCCAGAAGATACACAGAAACTGATCAGCTATTTTCGAAACATTCTCACAGAAAGTCTGTTCAAAAGTTCTTTTCCTCCTCCACTTAGGTTTTTAAATGTCATTGCAATTGAATGTTGAGCCCTGCAAAATCCAGGGCATTGTTACTGATAAATAACTCCTATTAATAGCGATTTCATTCATTGGAGCTTTTAATTCATTTTGGTTTTGTTGATTTTCATGCTTGTGTTTTCCATTCGTTTCAATACGGTCCATCTTTCTGTTTCTTTTTAATGTTTTAATCCAATTACCAGCCCCATAAACACGTATTTGCCACATCTACAGTAGGTGCACTGAGCTGTGAGCAGAAGTGATTTCTGATTACAGACAGGCTCATTCTCAAGGGGCAAGAGGAATAACATGTAGTGAACTGAATAAAATAATAATGGAAAATACCTTGTTAGGTGACATATGGCGCAGTTTTAGAGTACAGATGGGAAAGAAAAAGTTACTCAATCCTAAAACACATATGCATTGCGTGGATAGCAGTTGTAATGTAGATCATATATGATGGGCTTGGTTATGAAAGAAAAAAACTTACGATTTCATTGCTCAAGTGTGTTCATTAATATTAGGATTAGCCTCTCTAACTGAGAAGGTGACAAAAAGCAATTTAGATTCTTTAAAACCCTAGAGTTTTGTCAACAGGAGGACCAAAGGCAAAAGTCGTCAGGCAAGAGGGTCCCCAGGACCTCTGGATTTTCTATTCTCCTTTTTCCTCTTGACTGTTTCTCTTTCCTTTCACTCCTTTTCAGAATTTCTACCTTTAGGGACTCCTACTCCCACCCACAGAAAAAAAAATCGCACGTACTTTCTGTACCTTTAGTTATGATTAATAACACCTTGGGGAATTACCTATGTTACAACCTTTACATATCACAGGGATTCCTACCTCGGGATGAAGGGATGAAGCACGGATGATAGAGGACTGTGGCTATTTCAGTAGGAGTCAACAGATGAGCAAACATTCTAGGGAGTAATGGGGCCTTCACAAATCCTCTAGAATCATCATCAGATTGCACCACGAATTACACTGTTCCTCTATCAGTGTGCAAGTTGATATACAATTATCTAATTGTAGTCAGAGCCCAAACAAAGTGAGTTTGGAAACCAGATATTGCTGTTCTACGTCCCGCCTTCTTACCAGACATTTGAGCAATGACTGTGGGGGTCAGAATATGGAAAACGATTTCCATTGCCAGAAGGTTCAGTAAAACAAAGTTTAAAAAGTAATAAATAATGAGCCAGGCACAGTGGCTCACGCCTGTAATCCCAGGACTTTGAGAGGACAAGGCGGGTGGATAGCTTAAGTCCAGGAATTCAAGACCAGCCTAGGGAACATGATGTGACCCCCATCTCTACAAAACATAAACAAAATTAGCTGGGCATGAGGCATGCTCCTGTGGTCCCAGCTACTCAGGAGGCTGAGGTGGGAGGATCGCCTGAGCCCAGGAGGTTGAGCCTGCAGTGAGTCGAGATTACATGACTGTGCTCCAGCCTGGGTGACAGAGCAGGACCCTGTCTCAACAACAACAACAAAAAATTGCAACAAGAGCTTTGTCAAATTAGGCCAGCTCCCATCCCAAGAATAGAACGTGCTATTTTGAAGCTCCTAAATCTGAGAAACAGGTGCATAGTCAACAAGGTTTTCAGAAAACCCTGCAGGCACATCCTATTCACAGCACCGGGAGCTAGTTCATTGAGCCTTTAAGCATTGAGAGTTAAGATTTCCCATATCTCAGTGGATTCTCTTTGGTTAGAGCAAAACCAACAAAGACAGGAGGCTAAGTACAAACAACCACCGGAGACCAAAATGTCAGTTTCTTAGGCATAATGAAGGGCTTCAAAGGGTTGTCAGGGCAAGTTAAGTGCAGTGGTAAGAAAGCAGGTAAACCCTATGCTTATTCTGTGCATGGTGTGGTTTTGATGATCCTCTGGGAACCAGGGGGCCAGAAGTATACAGAGCGGCTCAGATTTTGGTCTTTCTCTTCTCAGAGGCCAAAGGAAACTAGACTGTCATCTGCTTTTTGGTGGTTTTATGCAGCATCGTTCAACTGCACTTAGTGACACAGCTTTACCCATTTCTTTCCGTTCTTTAGGCAAACATTAAATCATAAAACTTTCCACAGTACTTAAGAGACATTTAGCTGCCAAATGATGAATCAAATGTGTGATTTAAGCACTGAAATTCAAAGTTTAATGTCACTTTTATCATTTCATTTTATTATATCCTATAAAATACAGAGCCGTAACTTATAATGACAATGGCAATCACATACGATACATTCTGTAGATTCACTTCTAATACTATCAGAATGTATTTTAGATAGATTGCAAAGTCCATACACAACTAACACACAGGGCTTTTGACTTTGGTTTCAAAGGTTTTATATGGTGTCTCAAAAGCCAAGCCCTAAAAATTCAGGAGATGTTCTTTTGAATTCACCTTAATATGAGGCTGATTTTATAGCTTAGGGCTCCTACTGAGAAAGAAGCCAGTTCCTTCTTTGCTGTGGGTTGAGACAAGTGTGAAAGAGTCTGTTTTCTAAGTAGACCACAGCTACTTTCATGAGCTAAATAAAGAGAAGAAACACATATAAGACTGTTAGTCGGGGGAAGCTGACATTTAGAAGGTGTCTAATCTAGTTTGGTTTTCTGCATTGATCAAATTCATGGAATAATTGTTTCCTAGTCCTCTTCCTTTACCTGAAGAGTCAGGGGAAAGAGGCCAGTTCAGAATGGTCATGGTGGCCTGGGAGTGGCTTGCCCTCCTTGATCTTTCACTGAGGATGATGGCAGCTACGCAAACCGCACCTAACTTTTCAGGACCGTGCTGCTTAATGTGACAGGACATTTTATTTACAATTCAACAGTGTCAACACGGTGGTAATAACGTGAGAAGATGATTTCGTTGTTGGCAAATAGATCCTTTCAATTGGTTGATAAAATTGGGAGAGTGTTGATAGGATTGCAGATTACCTGGGAAAAACGTTTGAAGTTATTACCTTGGAAGTATAAACCAGGTAGCTTTACCTGGAAACTTAATTGCTAAAATCTTTAATTTTCTGTGGATTTGGGTTTTTGGATTTTTTGGGGGGGGGGGTGGGGTGGGTTTTTGTTTTGTTTTGTTTTTTTGCAATCTCTTGTTAACTTGTTTTATTTCCAGTCAAACTGGGCAAAGTCCCCATTACATTGGCAGGGTTGTGATCACCGCATCCCTGAGATCTTCCCTTCTGGAGCAGTGTTATGGTTTGGCTCTGTGTCCCCACCCAAATCTCCCCTTGAATTGTAATAATCCCCAGGTGTCAAGGGTGGGACCAGGTGGACAAAATTGAATCATAGGGTAGTTTCCCCTATACTGTCCTTGTGATAGTGAGTGAGTTCTCATGAGATCTTGTGGTTTTATAAGGGGCTCCCCTCTTCACTTGGCTCTTGCTTCTCTCACCTGCCACCATGTAAGACATGCCTGTTTCACCTTCCGCCATGATCGTGAGTTGCCTGAGGCCCCCCAGCCATGTGGAACTGTGAGTCAATTAAACCTCTTTTCTTTATAAATTACCCAGTCTCAGATGTGTCTTCATAGCAGCATGGAAATAGACTGATACAAGCAGGAAGTCAGATTTGCACTACAAAAGGCTCATTCCACTCTACTGGGATGACTGGTCCCATGCCCAGCCTTATCTTCTTATATGTGGAACTCTGAGTCTGCCCTGATCCCACCTTCTTGATGAAATCTTACATAGTGGTTTTCCTACCTAAATTCCTGATCTCTGGCCATTGTATGCTCCCTAACCCTTGTTTCAGGAACTGGCAGCATATGCTCCTTACCTGTTTCGATTCTGCTTTTCTGTGCCCATGAAAACACCCTACACTTAAACTGTGGTGCCGTTTTTTCATTTCAGTATTTCACCAAAGAGTCTCTTGTGGAAGTGCTGCACAGATGGGCACATGCAAAGTGCTGATACAGTGGACCTGAATTGTTTTTAATGGATACTGGTCACCTCTGCCCAAACGGACTGCCATAGAAATACTAAAGGTTAACTTTCCTCCACCTCAGATTTGCTACTGAAATTAACAGAGCTCACTTGAGAGATGAATTTGCTCTTTAAAAATTTATTTCCTATGCATTTTCTCTTCCTGTAAATGGGAACCTGGGATCTCAAAAAACTAAATTAAAATTATCAAATACTATTGAACGAACCTAATGAAAATTTTAACCAAAAGTCATTGTAAATTAGGTATGTTCTATACTGAGAACACAAGCCTTTGAAAAGTAGGTATTGTTCTTATGTAAACTCATGAATGGAGACTTCCTTGAATAAATTACTTCTTAATAACATCAGAGAGTCATTGGCTGGCTAAATATCTCCCTAGGGCACTCACTGAGATTCCTGAATTTAAATGTTCAATAGAACTTCATATTTGTCACCTTTACTAATGAGTTTTTCTTTATGAAATCATTATAAGCATGAAAAAGTTAAATTTTGTATCTAATTTCTAGAATTAATGCTGTCTAAAAGACCTCAAGGGGTTGAAAGTTTTCTTGCCGGGATGCAACATTTACATAATTTCTATTGCCCCAGTGTTTACACTCTCCTACCCACTGTCAATTTGCTACCTGAGGCATGAGAAAGAAAAATGATCAGAACAGCCAGAATGTCTGGGAATTTCTGCAAATAGGAACAATGGATCTTCTCAAAAGAGCAGAGAGCAAAATGCTGTCTCCTATTCTGACTTGTGATTCAAGCATACAAAGCCTTACCATTGTTCTTTCTAAAGTACAGACTCACAGCAAGGGCTACTACTGCTGCTACATTTATGATATTCGCGAACAAGTTTATCACCATGGTTAAACAATTCCCCGAGTTACAAGAATCTGTTTTGTTATAGTCAGTCTGGAGTTTTTATTCTTGGATTTAGGATTTTACCTGCATTTCTTTCATTTTAACATGACAGCCGATGGACTAAGTTCTGTCTTGTCAAAGCAAGAACTGTAGGTCCTGTAACTGCAGCTTGAAACTATCAGTATATCTCACGTTGCAGAATCCTTTAAGGTAGGAGATAAAGTGCTTGTTTATAAACAGATCTGGACTGCTTTTCCACATAGGGGACAGTGAAGCAAAGCTATGACATTTCCAAGATGCCACTGCCTTGACCACAGTCAGAAAGAAAGATGCTAACAAATTATAA
Source organism: Homo sapiens (assembly GCF_000001405.40). Lineage (NCBI taxonomy): Eukaryota > Metazoa > Chordata > Mammalia > Primates > Hominidae > Homo > Homo sapiens. Next base: position 10,688,409 of record NC_000010.11, read on the forward strand.
CCACTGCCTTCCAGTGCTGCCCAGACCCGACCCAGCCTCCTCCATTTAGTGTGTTTAACTAGACTCCCAAATTCATAAGTATCATTGTGCCACAACAGAGTAAACCAATTGAATAGCTGATGCATGTCCAGTACAGAGAAAGTCCTGGGTACAACAGAGGGACCTCAATGCATTACTCCTTGATCACCAGTTATTCCTGGCACCTTTATAATATTTACAGTATTTAGCATCCCTAAGAATGGAACCAATACTTTAAACCAACTCGTGATGATATAATTGGTTGTATGAAAATAAATGGTACTAGCCAGTTTTTTTTTGGCTGGGCTCAGTGGCTCATGCCTGTAATCCAAACACTTAGAGACAAGAGTGTCACTTGAAGCCAGGAGTTTGAGGCCAGTCTGAGCAACAAAACAAAACTCTGTGTATACCAAAAAAAAATTAATTAATTAGTTGGGTGTGGTGGTGGATGCCTGTAGTCCCAGCTACTCGGGAGGCTAAGGCAGGAGAATTGCTTGAGCCCAGGAATTCGAGGCTTCAGTGAACCATGCTCACACCACTGCACCCCAGGCTGGGCAACAGAACAAGACCCTATCTCTCTCCTAAAAAAAAAGTAGTTAAATTTAAGTTTTAAAGAAGAAAAAATATGGTATCATTTCTGAGTTCCATAATTTTTGTTACCTTTTGTATTAGTCCATCCTCATACTGCTCTAAAGAACTACCTGAGACTGGGTAACTTATGAAGAAGAGAGGTTTAATTGGCTCACAGCTGCACAGATTTAACAGGAAGCATTACCAGGAGGCCTCAGGAAATTGACAATCATGGTGAAAGGGGAGGGGGAAGCAAGGACCTTCTTCACATGGTGGCAGGAGAGAGAAACAGTGAAGAGGGAAGTGCCACACACTTTTAAACCATCAGATCTCATGAGGACTCACTATCATGAGAACAGCAAGGTGGAAAATCTGCCCCCATGATCCAGTCACCTCCACCAGGTCCCTCCCCCAACACTTAGGATTACAAATCAACATGATATTTGGGTGGGGACACAGAGCTAAACCATATCACCTTTGCAGTATATCAAATTAAAAAGCACATTTCACAAAATCATAACATGAAAAATGAAAACTAGTATTTGAATATACTTCATAGCACTATGAAATACTTTCAACATGCAGGCTAAAGACATGAACAAGATTACTCATGGATAGTTTATGACAACGAATTTACTCCTAAGCTAACACCAGAAAAGGCATTCAAATCACATGAACCAAAACAGATTCACCGAAGAACCTGGATTAGCAAATAACCGAGAGTGTACACCAACCTCCTCAAACAAAGCCCTCTATTCAGCCAAGGAATTTCAATAGAATTGAAAGTTCATTTCACATTATGCAACAAATTTAACGAAATATGTACGTGTGAACAAAATTCTATATCTATACATAACATGTTCCTACTGAATTTCAACAGAAATCAAACATGAAATCCCACAGGAAGTATTTCATTCAACAAGTATATGTGGAGGACATTCCAAGCACCAGTCAGATCTACATGCAGAGACTCCAGTGGCAGGTTTCAGAATATACAAGATTGAGAATGAGGTTTAAACTGATGACCATCTCTGTGGAACATAAGCTATAATGTCCATATATGGGTGCTAGGAGCTACAGTCTCCAGTAATACTGTTTCTCTTTGTATCATTTTTCTGAATTCTGACCTCTCTCCTCTTCTTCATTGGCTTCTAAGACTATATAGGTTTCCTCCTTGCTGAAGATTTTCTACCTCACCTTAGAAATTCCCAGAACTTTGCACCTTTCCCTTTGTGACTGGTTCATTATGATGCCCGAATTGCAGGTGTTACCCTGTAGCATACGATGTCCTCCAGACTGTAGCTTCCTTGAGTTAGAGGCTTGAGTTTGCTTGAGCAAATCAAACATGTTTCCCAGTCTATCAGCCTACATGATTAAGGTTATCTATACATCTTACTAAGTGTTATCATGTGTATGTGTGTGTATGCACACACATAGATTAAAATAATACACTGTATAAAATACAGTGAGTGCCAAAATAAAAGTACAGAATGAAGGCACAAATGCCTACCCGCTCCCATCAAGCATCCCATCAGTACACAATGGTTGACAACAGTGCAGGACCAGAAGACAGACCACCTGCATGCAAAATACCAGCTCATGGTTGGGCACAGTGGTGCATGCCTATAATCTCAGCACTTTGGGAGGCTGAGGTGGGCAGATCACTTGAGGTCAGGGGTTCGAGAACAGTGTGGCCATGATGGTGAAACCCCATCTCTACTAAAAATACAAAAATTAGCCTGGCATGGTGATGCACGCCTATAATACCAGCTACTCAGGAGGCTGAGGCATGAGAATCACTTGAACTGGGGAGGCAGAGGTTGCAGTGAGCCTAGATCGTGCCAACTGCATTCCAGCCTGGGTGACAGTGAAACTCTGTCTCGAAAAAACAAACAAATACCAGCTCAACCTCCTTCAAGCTTATGTCCTCAAGGAACTTATTTTTCTTACATTATCTCAGTTTTCTTTTCAGAGAAAAGGGAAATCGCCATATTCCTAGGATTATGGTGATTTTTTTTTATTATTATACTTTAAGTTTTAGGGTGCATGTGCACATTGTGCAGGTTAGTTACATATGTATACATATGCCATGCTGGTGCGCTGCACCCACTAACTCGTCATCTAGCATTAGGTATATCTCCCAGTGCTATCCCTCCCCTCTCCCCCCACCCCACAACAGTCCCCAGAGTGTGATGTTCCCCTTCCTGTGTCCATGTGATCTCATTGTTCAATTCCCACCTATGAGTGAGAATATGCGCTGTTTGGTTTTTTGTTCTTGCGATAGTTTACTGAGAATGATGATTTCCAATTTCATCCATGTCCCTACAAAGGACATGAACTCATCATTTTTTATGGCTGCATAGTATTCCATGGTGTATATGTGCCACATTTTCTTAATCCAGTCTATCATTGTTGGACATTTGGGTTGGTTCCAAGTCTTTGCTATTGTGAATAATGCCACAATAAACATACGTGTGCATGTGTCTTTATAGCAGCATGATTTATAGTCCTTTGGGTATATACCCAGTAATGGGATGGGCTGGGTCAAATGGTATTTTACTTCTAGATCCCTGAGGAATCACCACACTGACTTCCACAATGGTTGAATCAGTTTACAGTCCCACCAACAGTGTAAAAGTGTTCCTATTTCTCCACATCCTCTCCAGCACCTGTTGTTTCCTGACTTTTTAATGATAGCCATTCTAACTGGTGTGAGATGGTATCTCATTGTGGTTTTGATTTGCATTTCTCTGATGGCCAGTGATGATGAGCATTTTTTCATGTGTTTTTTGGCTGCATAAATGTCTTCTTTTGAGAAGTGTCTGTTCATGTCCTTCGCCCACTTTTTGATGGGGTTGTTTGTTTTTTTCTTGTAAATTTGTTTGAGTTCATTGTAGATTCTGGATATTAGCCCTTTGTCAGATGAGTAGGTTGCGAAAATTTTCTCCCATTTTGTAGGTTGCCTGTTCACTCTCATGGTAGTTCCTTTTTGCTGTGCAGAAGCTCTTTAGTTTAATGAGATCCCATTTGTCAATTTTGTCTTTTGTTGCCATTGCTTTTGGTGTTTTAGACATGAAGTCCTTGCCCATGCTTATGTCCTGAATGGTAATGCCTAGGTTTTCTTCTAGGGTTTTTATGGTTTTAGGTCTAACGTTTAAGTCTTTAATCCATCTTGAATTGATTTTTGTATAAGGTGTAAGGAAGGGATCCAGTTTCAGCTTTCTACATATGGCTAGCCAGTTTTCCCAGCACCATTTATTAAATAGGGAATCCTTTCCCCATTGCTTGTTTTTCTCAGGTTTCTCAAAGATCAGATAGTTGTAGATATGTGGCATTATTTCTGAGGGCTCTGTTCTGTTCCATTGATCTATATCTCTGTTTTGGTACCAGTGCCATGCTGTTTTGGTTACTGTAGCCTTGTAGTATAGTTTGAAGTCAGGTAGTGTGATGCCTCCAGCTTTGTTCTTTTGGCTTAGGATTGACTTGGTGATGTGGGCTCTTTTTTGGTTCCATATGAACTTTAAAGTAGTTTTTTCCAATTCTGTGAAGAAAGTCATTGGTAGCTTGATGGGGATGGCATTGAATCTGTAAATTACCTTGGGCAGTATGGCCATTTTCACGATATTGATTCTTCCTACCCATGAGCATGGAATGTTCTTCCATTTCTTTGTATCCTCTTTTATTTCCTTGAGCAGTGGTTTGTAGTTCTCCTTGAAGAGGTCCTTCACATCCCTTGTAAGTTGGATTCCTAGGTATTTTATTCTCTTTGAAGCAATTGTGAATGGGAGTTCACTCATGATTTGGCTCTCTGTTTGTCTGTTGTTGGTGTATAAGAATGCTTGTGATTTTTGTACATTGATTTTGTATCCTGAGACTTTGCTGAAGTTGCTTATCAGCTTAAGGAGATTTTGGGCTGAGACAATGGGGTTTTCTAGATATACAATCAGGTCGTCTGCAAACAGGGACAATTTGACTTCCTCTTTTCCTAATTGAATACCCTTTATTTCCTTCTTCTGCCTAATTGCCCTGGCCAGAACTTCCAACACTATGTTGAATAGGAGTGGTGAGAGAGGGCATCCCTGTCTTGTGCCAGTTTTCAAAGGGAATGCTTCCAGTTTTTGCCCATTCAGTATGATATTGGCTGTGGGTTTGTCATAGATAGCTCTTATTATTTTGAAATACGTCCCATCAATACCTAATTTATTGAGAGTTTTTAGCATGAAGGGTTGTTGAATTTTGTCAAAGGCCTTTTCTGCATCTATTGAGATAATCATGTGGTTTTTGTCTTTGGCTCTGTTTATATGCTGGATTACATTTATTGATTTGTGTATATTGAACCAGCCTTGCATCCCAGGGATGAAGCCCACTTGATCATGGTGGATAAGCTTTTTGATGTGCTGCTGGATTCGTTTTGCCAGTATTTTATTGAGGATTTTTGCATCAATGTTCATCAAGGATATTGGTCTAAAATTCTCTTTTTTTGGCTGTGTCTCTGCCCGGCTTTGGTATCAGAATGATGCTGGCCTCATAAAATGAGTTAGGGAGGATTCCCTCTTTTTCTATTGATTGGAATAGTTTCAGAAGGAATGGTACCAGTTCCTCCTTGTACCTCTGGTAGAATTCGGCTGTGAATCCGTCTGGTCCTGGACTCTTTTTGGTTGGTAAGCTATTGATTATTGCCACAATTTCAGCTCCTGTTATTTGTCTATTCAGAGATTCAACTTCTTCCTGGTTTAGTCTTGGGAGAGTGTATGTGTCGAGGAATTTATCCATTTCTTCTAGATTTTCTGGTTTATTTGCGTAGAGGTGTTTGTAGTATTCTCTGATGGTAGTTTGTATTTCCGTGGGATCAGTAGTGATATCCCCTTTATCATTTTTTATTGCGTCTATTTCATTCTTCTCTCTTTTTTTCTTTATTAGTCTTGCTAGCAATCTACCTATTTTGTTGATCCTTTCAAAAAACCAGCTCCTGGATTCATTAATTTTTTGAAGGGTTTTTTGTGTCTCTATTTCCTTCAGTTCTGCTCTGATTTTAGTTATTTCTTGCCTTCTGCTAGCTTTTGAATGTGTTTGCTCTTGCTTTTCTAGTTCTTTTAATTGTGATGTTAGGGTGTCAATTTTGGATCTTTCCTGCTTTCTCTTGTGGGCATTTAGTGCTATAAATTTCCCTCTACACACTGCTTTCAATGCGTCCCAGAGATTCTGGTATGTTGTGTCTTTGTTCTCGTTGGTTTCAAAGAACATTTTTATTTCTGCCTTCATTTCGTTGTGTACCCAGTAGTCATTCAGGAGCAGGTTGTTCAGTTTCCATGTAGTTGAGCGGTTTTGAGTGAGATTCTTAATCCTGAGTTCTAGTTTGATTGCACTGTGGTCTGAGAGATACTTTGTTATAATTTCTGTTCTTTTACATTTGCTGAGGAGAGCTTTACTTCCAAGTATGTGGTCAATTTTGGAATTGGTGTGGCATGGTGCTGAAAAAAATGTATATTCTGTTGATTTGGGGTGGAGAGTTCTGTAGATGTCTACTAGGTCTGCTTGGTGCAGAGCTGAGTTCAATTCCTGGGTATCCTTGCTGACTTTCTGTCTCGTTGATCTGTCTAATGTTGACAGTGGGGTGTTAAAGTCTCCCATTATGAATGTGTGGGAGTCTAAGTCTCTTTGTAGGTCACTCAGGACTTGCTTTATGAATCTGGGTGCTCCTGTATTGGGTGCATATATATTTAGGATAGTTAGCTCTTCTTGTTGAATTGATCCCTTTACCATTATGTAGTGGCCTTCTTTGTCTCTTTTGATCTTTGTTGGTTTAAAGTCTGTTTTATCAGAGATGAGGATTGCAACCCCTGCCTTTTTTTGTTTTCCATTTGCTTGGTAGATCTTCCTCCATCCTTTTATTTTGAGCCTATGTGTGTCTCTGCACATGAGATGGGTTTCCTGAATACAGCACACTGATGGGTCTTGACTCTTTATCCAATTTGCCAGTCTGTGTCTTTTAATTGGAGAATTTAGTCCATTTAAAGTTAATATTGTTATGTGTGAATTTGATCCTGTCATTATGATGTTAGCTGGTGATTTTGCTCTTTAGTTGATGCAGTTTCTTCCTAGTCTCGATGGTCTTTACATTTTGGCATGATTTTGCAGCGGCTGGTACCGATTGTTCCTTTCCATGTTTAGCACTTCCTTCAGGAGCTCTTTTAGGGCAGGCCTGGTGGTGACAAAATCTCTCAGCATTTGCTTGTCTGTAAAGTATTTTATTTCTCCTTCGCTTATGAAGCTTAGTTTGGCTGGATATGAAATTCTGGGTTGAAAATTCTTTTCTTTAAGAATGTTGAATATTGGCCCCCACTCTCTTCTGGCTTGTAGGGTTTCTGCCGAGAGATCAGCTGTTAGTCTGATGGGCTTCCCTTTGAGGGTAACCCGACCTTTCTCTCTGGCTGCCCTTAACGTTTTTTCCTTCATTTCAACTTTGGTGAATCTGACAATTATGTGTCTTGGAGTTGCTCTTCTCGAGGAGTATCTTTGTGGCGTTGTCTGTATTTCCTGAATCTGAACGTTGGCCTGCCTTGCTAGATTGGGGAAGTTCTCCTGGATAATATCCTGCAGAGTGTTTTCCAACTTGGTTCCATTCTCCCAATCACTTTCAGGTACACCAATCAGACGTAGATTTGGTCTTTTCACATAGTCCCATATTTCTTGGAGGCTTTGCTCATTTCCTTTTATTCTTTTTTCTCTAAACTTCCCATCTCGCTTCATTTCATTCATTTCTTCTTCCATTGCTGATACCCTTTCTTCCAGTTGATCGCATCGGCTCCTGAGGCTTCTGCATTCTTCACGTAGTTCTCGAGCCTTGGTTTTCAGCTCCATCAGCTCCTTTAAGCACTTCTCTGTATTGGTTATTCTAGATATACATTCTTCTAAATTTTTTTCAAAGTTTTCAACTTCTTTGCCTTTGGTTTGAATGTCCTCCCGTAGCTCAGAGTAATTTGATCATCTGAAGCCTTCTTCTCTCAGCTCGTCAAAGTCATTCTCCATCCAGCTTTGTTCCGTTGCTGGTGAGGAACTGCGTTCCTTTGGAGGAGGAGAGGTGCTCTGCTTTTTAGAGTTTCCAGTTTTTCTGTTCTGTTTTTTCCCCATCTTTGTGGTTTTACTTTTGGTCTTTGATGATGGTGATGTACAGATGGGTTTTTGGTGTGGATGTCCTTTCTGTTTGTTAGTTTTCCTTCTAACAGACAGGACTCTCAGCTGGAGGTCTGTTGGAGTACCCTGCCGTGTGAGGTGTCAGTGTGCCCCTGCTGGGGGGTGCCTCCCAGTTAGGCTGCTCAGGGGTCAGGGGTCAGGGACCCACTTGAGGAGGCAGTCTGCCCGTTCTCAGATCTCCAGCTGCATGCTGGGAGAACCACTGCTCTCTTCAAAGCTGTCAGACAGGGACATTTAAGTCTGCAGAGGTTACTGCTGTCTTTTTGTTTGTCTGTGCCCTGCCCCCAGAGGTGGAGCCTACAGAGGCAGGCAGGCCTCCTTGAGCTGTGGTGGGCTCCACCCAGTTCGAGCTTCCCTGCTGCTTTGTTTACCTAAGCAAGCCTGGGCAATGGCGGGCGCCCCTCCCCCAGCCTCGCTGCGGCCTTGCAGTTTGATCTCAGACTGTTGTGCTAGCAACCAGTGAGATTCCGTGGGTGTAGGACCCTCCGAGCCAGGTGTGGGATATAGTCTCGTGGTGCGCCGTTTTTTAAGCCCATCGGAAAAGCGCAGTATTTGGGTGGGAGTGACTCGATTTTCCAGGTGCCGTCCGTCACCCCTTTCTTTGACCCCTTGCGCTTCCCAAGTGAGGCAATGCCTTGCCCTGCTTCGGCTAGCGCACGGTGCGTGCACCCAATGACCTATGCCCACTGTCTGGCACTCCCTAGTGAGATGAACCCGGTACCTCAGATGGAAATGCAGAAATCACCCGTCTTCTGCGTCGCTCACGCTGGGAGCTGTAGAGGGGAGCTGTTCCTATTCGGCCATCTTGCGATTATGGTGATTTTTAAGGTACATGTTCAAGGATTAGAAAACAAAATATCTTCAAGATGTTTGGTAATAACATGATTAACACATGTTATTATGATGATGTCCTGCTTTAGAAGGAGACAAAAAAAAAAAAGTGGTTGTCCACCCATAGCAAGCATCTGACCTGAGTTTGGGGTATGTTGAGCATAAAGCCTGAATATAGAGGGTAATAAATGAGAAGATGGAGACATTAACATGGGTGGGAATTGCCAGCATGGTAGTGGTTTTTTGCAGGATGTTTGCAATGGGACAGACGAATGGAGAATGAGTGATACATTACCAAAGCAGCTCTTGAATGACAAGCTGTCCATTGTCAATAAGGAGGGCCCCAGAAAACCCAGCTCATGAAGTGGGCACTGCAGCATTGCTTAAGGCCAGTGTGCAAATTGGAAGCTGGACGGAGACCAGTCTGTGGGCATCAGTGAGGTTGATATCTTAGTCTGTTCGGGCTGCTCTAACAAAATACGCTAGACTCGGGGTCTCCTAAGCAATCAAGAAATTGACTTCTCACAGTTCTAGAGGCTGGGAAGTCTGAGGTCAAGACACTGACGGATGTAGCATCTGGTGAGGAACCTCTTTCAGGTTGCAGACTGCCAATCGGTAGCTGCATCCTCACATGGCAAAAGGACGCTAGCTCTCTCAGGTTTCTTTTATAAAGACATGAATCTCATTCTTGAGGGCCTCACCCTCATGACCTCATCACCTCCCAAAGGCCGCACCCCCCCAATACCATCACCATGGAGATTAGGTTTTGGGTTTGGTTTTGTCTGAGACAGGGTCTTGCTCTGTCACCCAGGCTGGAGTCCAGTGGCACAATCGGATTTCAGCTCACTGCAGCCTGCATCTCCTGGCTTCAAGGAATTCTCCCACTTCAGCCTCCTGAGTAGCTGGGATTACAGGCATGTGCCACTACTCCCAGCTAATTTTTGTATTTTTAGTACAGACAGGGTTTTACCATGTTTGGCCAGGCTGGTCTGGAACTCCTGACCTGAGGTGATCCGCCCACTTCAGCCTCCCAAAGAAGAGTAGGTTTTAACATATCAATTGGGGGGTGGGGCACACACCTTCAGACCTTAGCAGGTGGTGTGATAACATCAAGCCATAGCTAAATAGCAGTCAGTTTATTTCGTAGATCCTAAAAAGTTGTCCAATATGACAGTAAATCTATGACAGAATATTCAGTTTCACTATAAAATGGCTCCAGGAAAAGAACTGAAGCCAATGGAATCGATTAATAGCACTCAGATTGGTAGAAGAGTCCCATAAATCAGGTGGCTCCTGTGACTTTATGCAGGCGAACTGACTTTGATCTCCGCTTTGATTCCTTCATCTGGAACAAGTAAATAACAAAACCAACATCTCTCGGGATACAAGGAGGATTAATAAGAAAGACAAAACCTATGAAAGTACTTAGCAAAGTATTTGATATACATATGTAACATTCTTTTCTTTGCTTTTCCTAATTTCATCTACAAAATTACATATCCATTTGTTTTCAGAATAATCCATCCAAACCACGGATCACCTACGTTCTCAGTAAACTGCAGGTCTGGGTGAGGTGTGTATTTAATAGCTTGCTTGTGCAACCAACACGTTTTGGTCTCAACTACTTCCCAGCTGACTTCTGCTTTATCCTCTCTCACTTTACAGAAAAGTCAGCAATGAAAGACTTCTCATAGCGGTCATCGATTTGTTATCACAAACAAATCATGAAAGACAGTACAAAAATTAAAGACCCATCCTTACACGCCAACACAAAAGGAAGGGTGTCTAGAGGCAGTCTTTTCAACAACACCCACACACTGTCATCACCATCTTAATCATCACTCTTGATTATAAAATTCAGTAATGAATTCTATCTTTGAAACTAGCTTGCAGTGTGGCTTTAGGTAAATATATAATATACTCATAAATGTGTACATATCATACATAATTATATTATATAACATACTAGTAAATTAGTGTATATAAAAATGCTTATATAGTATCCATATAATATACTAGTGTATGTTATCTACGTATATTTATATAACATATATTTGAATTTCCTCACAATAAAATACCTCAGCTTCTCACAGAATTTTTTTGAGGAACAAGTAAAACAGTAGATGTAAAAGATGCATTGAAAAATGAAATATTTCCCCAATATTGTGCATTCATATCTGTATATATACACATACATATCAAATTTATGAAAGAAAATAATATATGTTTTTGAGGACACCTCTAAGTTTCTTTCTGATAGTAAAATAACAATCATGACAGTAATTATTCAATCAGGATTTCAATATAATCTGTGGGTCCCATAAGGACTTCTTTTTGTGCTTCCTGGGTCTGGCAGGTGGTAGAGATGGGGATATCAATGGTGAGCAATTCATACACAGTTTTTGTCCTTGTAGAGATGGATACTTAGACAGTTAGCAAATTATTGCAAATTGTCTCAGCACTGTATGGATAAGAACAGAGCAAATAAGCGATCATGAAAGCATTCCAGGAGGAAGTGACATTTGATCTGTCATCATGGTGATTTGCAGTTATCTAGGTAGACAGACAGTGTGGGGGAATGGGGAGGAGGTGACGGGTGAGGAAGCACCTCGCAGACAGAGGGGGATGCCTGACTGCAGATGGCTTGTACATTTGAGGAACTGAAAGAAGACTGGAAAAGTGAGAGAGGCCAAGATTGCCAGAGAAGGCTGGACTTTGCTGGAGCCTTGTTGATCATTGTAAAGATTTTGGTCTTTCAGAGCCATGAAACTACTTCTGGCTTTTCAGTTGGAGTGAAGAGATTTGTGTTTCCTGAATGATGTCTCTGGTGGCCTATTGTGAAGAATAGAACAGCATCGCCGTAGTTTCCAGTTCTCACAGCCTTTTCCTTCCATCTTCATGGAGACTGCTCTAATCTACGTAGAAGCAGCAGAGGCCCAAATACTGAAATGCTGATATTTCAGTATTTCCAGAAAAAGCCTAGCCTCCACCTTAACCTGAGAATTTCACCCCCACTAGGTATCTGGAATTCCCAGACAAAAGGGTTACCCCTTTGGATTTCAGCCTTGTCCTTGTTCAAATGCTAAAAACATGCTGAGAAGTAATGCAGAAACTCTGTGTGTCCATTGCATCTCGATATGGATAAATCATTGAATCATTGCATGGGAAGAGGTTTTATTCAGGAAGAGGCAGAATAAGAGACCCAATACAGGAAGGCTGATCAGGAACATGAGCAGCCCCAGGGAAGAGGGAAAAGAAGAAAGGGAGGCCCAAGGCTGGGTTCACAGACTCTGTTGTTCATTCCAGTCACTTCCTTTTGGGAGAATTGTTTACATGCAGCCTCTGAAGGAGTGAAGGATGCGCCATACCAAAATACAACAGATTGTTATATGGATTGTTTTGAGTTGACCACATTCTAGATATTGCAGTTTTAAAACAGGTGGGCTGACCTGTCTCTTCCTGCTTGCAGCATAGCATAAAGATTCCTCTGGGAGAGGCCCCATACCTGTACCAAGGCAAGAAAACAGACCTCATCACCAGAGACTGAGCGCTGGGGCCTGCAATGGACCTGAATTAATAGACTTCTCAAAGTAACCCTTACTTCTACTACTTTTACACTCCCCACTCCTATGTATCTCCTAGTGACTCCTGTAGAAATTGACTGCCCCTTGGCTACCTATTCTTTGCCTTGTAATTTCTTCTCAAATTGATCATTCTTTGTCTAAAAAGTATAAAAGCAACTTCCTTTGGCTACTTCTTCACCTCTCTCTCTTCAGAAGATCTCTATGTACATTTAAAGCTAATACAATTGATATGCTTCTTTCTTGTTCATCAGCCTGGTGTCAGTTTGGTTGCTAGTTTCAGCCAAAGGGCCCACATAAGAGTTTAAGGGAGATTGGAGGTGACCTCTGACTCTCCTACGCCTCCACCTACCAAGTTCTGGCTTTATCTTTTATTCTGCTGCACTTCAACTCAAGGACCCAACCTTGATGTCTCTCTGTGTCCCACTATAATAAGTACGAACAATAAAACCTGATTTATCAGCGGCCCTCAGGTATGGCAACTCACAACAACACAAGGTAGCATTTGCATTTCTGCTGTAATAAAACATCATGCACGAAGGCCCAGCCAGAGAAAATGGCAGGAGGCTGCAGGGAGCTGGGAGAAAGGAGAGCATCTTCCCTGAGTCCTGAGCCTAGGCAGAGGCTAATGCCTTCCCAACCTGCTCAGAAAGATTAGACAAACAAAACCCAAACACAGAAAGAGATGCAAATATCCCCAGGAACTAGGACAAGTATGAGCTCGGCTCCAAATGTCAATTACTGGAAGTCTCCAGAGCCTGGTTAAAAATAGATATGCAGGTTTCTTTGTTCACTTGTCAGAAAGGGTCATCCCATCACATCAGATTTCCATCACTCTCTTATCACCCAATAGCTGAGTTGTCAACCATTTGCAACTGTAAGTCTTGGTTACAATGCTGTCACAGCGTCCAAATTAGTATGCGTCCTTTCAATTTTATCCAAATACCCGGGGCTCCAGGTTTCACAGGAAGTGCATGGAAAGGCTCATGAACATAATATATGTAAGCATTACTATAACCAGGTTGTTGTTGTTGTTGTTTTTCAAATGCCTCTGTATGTTTGTGCAAAGACAGAGAAAGGATGGAAGCAGAGACCAGTGGCAAATCGCCCATAGGCGAGATGGGTAACCAAGAGGCCGTGCGGGGTGCAGCTAGGGAGAACCACGTCCCATTTTCCATTTCTGCCATCACCTCGCTTAGAGACCATGAGAAAGTCCCTCGTGCTGCAGTTTTCCTCTACCCCGTAGTTAGACGAATCCCTAGCTACCCACCTTTGCCCAAGAAATACTGTACAAATGAATTAGATTTAGTCTGAATGCCTCATGAACTTCTCCTGCGAAAAGTGCTTAAATCTGCAGTCAACTCCAAATTAGACTTGGTAATTGAAGGAGCAGCGGTACCGATATTCCCAAATAACAGACAATCTAAAAGTCATTTTGACTTGATTCTGGTATGCAGTGTTTGATTTTGGAGGGGAGCGGCAGATTTGCTTCCTTAATTAGTTTTAGCTTAAGCTGGTATTAAACTTATATTCTATTTCATTCCATGAGCCCTGCCTTGCTTGAAACAAAAAGAGGAGGAACAGGAAGGAGAGGCCCAAAATGTAAATGTTACCACTAAAAATGGGGAGAAGGGGGAAACAGCCACAAAACAAATGATTTCCAAAATCTCAATCAATCTAGATTTAACTTTAGAGAGAGGAAGGTATGCTTCACTTCTTTCTTTTGGCTAGGGATTTCCTTTTCACTTGACTGGCCCCTTTATGTCTCTGACCTATGAGCTTTGAAATTTAACCTTGCTAAGGAACTCCTCCCAGCCTGCCAGTCCAAATAAATCACTGTAGTTGTGTCAACGTTTGAGCCATCTTAACCAAGCTTATTACATCTCTACAATAATTCCTCCCACAAATAAACAAGCATTTTAAGAATTCACTGTCTCTCTAAAAACTTTTGCAGACCCATTTTGGGTAACAAAATTTTATTAGAACTCAGGTGGACTTTTGAGATGGAGTCTCACTCTGTCACCCAGGCTGGAGTACCATGGCACAATCCTGGCGCACTGCAACTTCCGCCTCCTAGGTTCAAGTGATTCTCCTGCCTCAGCCTCCTGAGTAGCTGGGATTACAGGTGCCTGTCACTAGGCCCAGCTAATTTTCTGTATTTTTAGTAGAGACGGGTTTTCGCCATGTTGGCCACACTGGTCTCGAACTCCTGACCTCATGGTTCACCCACCTAGGCCTCCCAAAGTGCTGGGATTACAGGCATAAGCCATCGTGCCCAACCCCTTTTTAAAAATATAACAATTTTATTTCTCTGGCCCTTTCTTTATCTAAGATTTTTCCCCCTAAATAGCTACAAAAGCAGAGATCCTGCAGAATTCACTCTTTCAAAACCATTTATAGGGTTTACCCAAAGGGTCATCCCACTCTCCTTGACAGCATCAGCAATTCCGCTACCTCCTCCAGAACCAACCCGACTTCTTCAGAACCTGCAGGTGTTGGAAAGCAGCACCTTCTATCGCTCTGTCTTTGACCTACAGATTCTATAAAATAACAATTGATATTTATAGTTCTTACCATGTGCGGGGAACTGTTCTAAGCACTTCATATGTATTAATTTCTTTAGTTACAACTCTATAGAGTTGTAATTGTCTGCTTTTTACAGATGAGGAAACCTGAGTTGGGAGATTAATTAAATGCATTCAGAACATGACTCAGCTAGTCCGTGTTCACTTGAGAATTCACAGCCAGGCATGCTGATTCCAGGGCACAGGTTTCTACTCCACACCTCCCCCTAAATGGTTCAGGCCTGACTTAACCAACAGTGAGACTGTCTTTCTATCCTGTCCAGGATCCAGATAGATCCTCCCCACTGGGGCTCTACGAAGGATACAGAATATGATACTGAAGACTAAACAGGAAAACACAGCCCTTTCTACTATCAATGGTCTGGCACTGGCTGTCAATCATCAATTAAAGCAGAATGTCTAGAGATGCGGAATGATGTTGTTAAATAGCTCCCTAGATGGTTCTAATGTACAGCTAGGGCTGAGAACCATCCATCAACATGAATAGAAGGGAGAGGAGGAGAAGAGAATATAAAATGATGGGTAATAATAAAAATTGAGGTACATTACATTCTGAATCCCAACATTACCCCTGAGTATGAATCCCATTCAGTGCACAAAAACATGTAGCATTTTCTCAGACGAGGGAGAATTGCATGTAACTAAGTTAGACCTCCTTGTTTCTCGAAGGTACGATCACAGAACCCTAATCAATACAGCAGTGTAGTAGGCTGGGATGCTAACTTATACACGATCTCTTCTGCCTTGAAAGATCTGTGATTTTTAAAGACAAAATATTCCAATATTTCTAAATGGCAGCCATGCAATGGATTAAAATATCCTTTTACCTCTGTTTTTCACTTTGCTTTTACGGTGGAACTTCTATCACTCTCACTTCAGTACTCTGTAAGCCAGATAATTATTTGAAACCCCTGCAGTCCCAGTGCCATGTCTGAGCAAAGATTTAATGTCTTGAGTCCTAGAGTGAGATTTCTGATTACCAAGACTTCATTATCTTTATGAAACAAGCGACAGTACACTGACTGATGTACAGGGAAGTTTTATCATAGACTGTTAAGTCTGAACTACCATTGTCAAAACAAATAGAGGAAGCATATTGTGTGATTTACCTTCCTTGATTTTTTTTTCTGTCTGTTTGCATACCCACTCATCTGCAAGATTATAATGCACAATGGGGCTCTCTGTCATTAGTCTGAATTAGGAAGTTTCTACAGTATTTTGGAAATCAAACTGAAGTCCTTAGGAGGTTGAAATGCTTGAAATTATCTAAATGATTTTCATTATTGTAGCTCAGACTTTTATTAAACATGTTACTGCTTTCCAGAAATAGTGAACAATAATATAATAATTAATAATCAAACATACATCAAGGGGTACTTCATTTCAAACTATAAAATTAAAAGGCTGGTGATCAGCATCCCTGGCAGTGGAGTGGAGTCTCCCGTTTCTCTAGGAGACGCATTAGCTGGGTAGTTGGGGCTTAGTTAACTCATAGGCAGGCACACTGCTTCCTCCCTCATCTCGCTGTCTGAACATATGTCTCCTGCGTCATGTCTGTTCAGACCCAACACGTGCTTCCACCATGGAAGTAGAAGTTTTAATTATGTTCATAATATTCAATAGCAAGAGAATGCCATCCCTGTTAGAATGCTCACCCACCCCATCCCCAGATCAGCCAAGCAGGAATGCAGGAGCTTATATAAGATTTTTTTTTTTTTTTTCTGGGCATGGTGGCTCATGCCTGTAATCCAAACAAGTTGAAAAGCCAAGGTGGAAGGATCCCTTGAGGCCAGGAATTGAAGATCAGCCTGGGCAACATGGCGAGACCTGGTCTGTGCAGAAAATTTTAGTAGCCGGCGGTGGTGGCACAAGCCTGTAATCCTGGCTACTCAGGAGTCTGAGGTCGGAAGATCGCTTGAGCGTAGATATGTGAGGCTGCAGTGAGCTGTGATCGTGCCGCTGCACTCTAGCCTGGGCAACAGAGCTAGACCTTAACTCTAAAAGAAAAAATAAGGAATTTTCTTCCCTCCTATTCATCCTACCATACTTTTCTTCTAGACTATTCCACATATGAACGTAGTCACAAAATAAATTTGTGAAGCTCTCAAACTCTGTGCGTGTGTGAGTCCCATTTTCTGCTTCTTCCCCTCTCTCTCAGAAGTCAGCCTCCTTCCCTATTAAAAAAAAAAAAAAAAACCCTCAGGGTGAGACTTTTCCTTAGCCATGGAGTAACTCTCAGAGCATTTGCATTTAAATATTTAATTTCCTATTGTGGGATGAAAGGCTGTGATTGAACTACAGGGAGAGAGAGGGAGTGGTGGAAGTGTGGGGTAAAGAAATTCCACCTAAAATTATACGCAAAAATCTAGAGTGGAGCCTACAACTTGCTATTTACTCATTTAGCACTTAAGAGATCAGAAAACAGCATAATGAGTTTGGGTTTGGGTTTGTATCTTTCCCCCCAAAAGCTTCTTGGATGTCCCCTGTCACTGAGCTGCTAAAATCACAATGGAGTCCAGATTCTTTATAAACCACTTAGATGATTGGATGTCCCCAGGTCCCGGTTCATGTATAACATTTGGCAACCTCGTAACACAGGAGGCCCATTCACCTGTAGAAGTCTGTGTGTCCCAGTTCGCCATGAACAATTCTAAATTATGCCACTCTGCCAGTGTAATCACTCCTTGTGTTGCCCATTGCTCTCTAGAATGCACCAGATGATAAATCAGATGGTCACCTACTTATGATGTCCTTCATGGTCAGGCCCAGCCTCCACCCTGGTCTTCCTTCACTCACTGGTGCCACACTCTACATCCCAGCCGGACTGAGCTAACTTTGAACTATTTAAAATGTCTTTAACTTGCCAATTACACAAGGTGTTCTCTCAGTCTGCAGAGGGTGTCTCCCTTTCCTCCCTCCCTTCTCACTCCATCCCTGACTATTTTAGTCTCATCTTTCAAGTTTCAGAGTATATGATGCTTCTTTCAGGAAGCCAAGACTAGGCAGGAGTCCCTTTTACATGTACTTTTCTCAGTAGTACTTGATACATCATGTTGCTTTGATGATATCCTCAAAGGATAGACCCTTATTCACACAGTACCTAGCTGGCACTAAGTAGACACTCACTAAAACTTGGGTTTCTTGAGTGAGTGGGTGAATAAATGAGTGAATGGACATCAGTGGTGCAGGGGAAGTTTGCATTAATTCATCTCCCTGTTCATATGACTACTCCTGGCCTGAATGTTCCTCCAGCCCAGAACCGTCAGCATCCTCTATCAACATCCTCCACTTACAGTGTCTTAACCCAGAGTGTCTCCAGAATAAAGAAAGGCCTATGACCTTCAGGACACTCAAGGATGGGAAGAAAAGAGGCAAAAAGAAATGAGATCCTCCAAATAGGAAAATGTGGTAGAATTCATGAGGTTTCACCCTGTAAAACGGACAGCAAGGGCCCAAGTTTTCCAAAAGGCCAGATATGAGCATCATATGGTATTAGAAAACTAAGACTTGAAGAACTCAAGTGAATTGTCAAAAGTTACAGAGTGGTTAGTGGCAGAGTCAAGAAAAATACTCAAATTTCCAGACACAAAGTCCAGTGACCTTTCTTTGCCTAGATTTTACAACTTTAAACGCTCTAGTTTTACCAAAACCTTAGGCAGCTAGATTTACAAGCCATGCAAAGATATTACCATCTCTGTGCTCCTGCTGCTGCTTTGAAGAAGAGAAGATAAAGCCAATGAAAATATCAAACAAATCTCAGAAGGCCTTTAATGTTACAAGCATGAACATAACTATTCCAACAAGACTAGCCCACTACTCGGATTTCATCTTCCAAAAGCCATCCCGACTCAGGAGTTTTTCAACCCTAGGGGGTCAATGCTGAAGTCCTGAGCTCTGGCATTTGGGGGTTACTGGTTTTCCTTCAATGTATCAATCTGGCTTAAATATTCAAATTCATTTGAAATGCTGGCTCTTTGAGTGTGAGTACTCTAGTAAAACTATAAATAACAAGTCAATTTTAGGGTGCTATTTTCAGATGCCAGATTTTACAATCACGCAGTTTGACTCAGAAATTCTCCAGTTGGGACTATATCCTCAATCTCCAGATAATTTCTTAAATATCAGCAAAATCCTGGATACCTGATGCTCTGAGGAACTTTTTATTATGTCAAGCAGGGTAAAATATTTGTATTTTTAATTTGGGGTAGGAAAAATTGTTCACCCAAATGAAGTAAATGTCAGGTCATGGTGAAATGATAGTTGTCACTAAATATTTGAATGGTGACAATGTTAGATGTCTTCCTTACTAATCTAGATGGCAAAACTAGAAAAATTGAATGAAGTATACGAAGACAGAAATTTGGTTCACATGAAGGAAACCATCCCTCCCCATCAGAGGTGGTCAGCAATAAAGGAACCTGCCACAAGGATCTGTGATCAGTTTGTCAGTGCTGAAGCAGAAGCGGACGAAATGACCATCTGTCCAGGACGCTGAAGACAAGATTCCTGCATTGGGTGGCAGGGCTGAACAAGACAATCTCGTTTTTGATAATTTACTTCTTATAACAGGCATTGCGTGCCTGAGATCCTATAAACTATAAACTGATTTTAATAAGGTTTGGATTATTCGTTTAAATCAACTATTACTAAGCCTCTAAATTCACCCTTTGCTAAATTTTATGTAGAGAGGACTTCAGGGACATGGACCTAATCCCTACAAGGTGAAATACAAGCAGAAAAAGAGGAATAAATATAATTTTATGCATTAGATACTATCTTTAACGTATATTATCAATGCAAGTTAAAATGGAACAACTTCAGAGAACGGTGACATTTCACCAATTATTGGCAGTTAGTATCTTCATATAAACAAAGGCTTTAGGAGCTGACTTGGAAGAGAATAGTCATAAAAACACCACATATTTGAGGCAGGGAGCAAATTCAAAGGGCGTAAAAGAAAAAACGTCAATACATTGTTAAATTAGTGTTACCCATTGCACAGTATTTCATTGCACTGGCCTAGTCCACAAGCTCAGAAACTCAGGGTCATGTTTAGAAACTATAAGCTCAGAACCAGAAGACACTCTGGAATGCTACCCTCTGGCTTTACAGAAGAGGAAATTGAGACCCAAGAAGGTGAATGGCTTCCCTGTAGTTCATGAGATTCCACAGTGCTGAGAGACATTAGTACTCTTTCTGGTCAAAGTAATTAATTTATGTATGGCTGGTACCTTGGGACAAGGGCAATGACATTAAATGATTCTGAAAACACAAAAGCAAAAAACCAGCTTGGCATATATAAAATACCTCCAAATTAAAACTTAACAAATATAATATCAGTGTGCAAAATGAATGGAAAGCAAGATAATATTACAGTGCTTCATGATAAGAAAAGTCAGTGACTCAAGAAAGAAGAGGAAATCATAGGAAAAGGGTTATAGATTATTCTATTTTAGAGCTATTTCTCTTCTCTTCCTCTCTTTTTATTAACAATAGCTCATGGTGAGATCTTGCCTTGGAATCTGATGGAAATAGCAGTATTGAGTGAAGGACAAAGTCTACATACATATACGATTGAAATAATATACTGGGAATGGTTGAAAATTATATGTAAGAAATAATAATCCTCTGAGTGTGTTGTTATTCACCTTGACCCCTCCAAACACACACACACCCTTACACACACGCACACGCACACCGTATAGGAACATGCACGTACATCCAAATAGGCTAAATTTATATCTAGAAAAATGAATGCGTCATTATATAACCTACATAAAGGCAAATGCTATTTCTGGCCTGTGGTCTTTAAGCTGCCTGCCCTTGCAAGGTGTTACGTATGCAATATATGCTTAATAAATACTCATATATGGGAAGGATGATGATGATAACAACCTTTGCCAAATGCCAATTACAGGACATCCAGTCAACACTTCATGGGTCAATACATCAGCAGAAAGGAAGCGGCAAATGGAATTAAAATAATGTATCTGTTTGTTCATTGTTAATGGCTGCTATGAATTTGAATTAGGCCAGTAATTGCTTCCCTGATATGAGAGCAAAATGCCAAGGTAAAGACTGTAATTAACATTCAGAAGGAATGGAGGCTCAGAGAATGGGGACTTCTTTCAAAAGAAATCTCCAGTTTCCTCTTTGCCTCTTCCAAACCTCTTCCTAACTTCTTAGCATTCTTGTATTTCAAAATTGTTTTTGTTGTTATTTTTTAATCTCCCTCCTTCCTCCCCACGCCCACCCTGCTTTTAACTGTTGTTCCCAACTTTGAAGCTTGCAAAATTGATGTGATTTTAAAATAGTACTTCTTTTCTATGAAAGATTAGGGACTAGGAAGTAAACCAGCCAGCAATAATGGAAGTCCTGATGAGGGGAATATGTGAAGGTGGATGAGACACAGAATTTTTCAAATAACATTGATTTTCCAAGCTACTCAGGATCCAAGGGGAAGTTTAAATGTTTTCCTTTTGTTATTTCTGATCACTGTTTAACAGGAAAAGGGCGAGGCAGTGGTCTAACATGTCCAAAAAAGACAACTTGTCTCAGTTACATCCATTAAGAAATGAATAATGGCAATTATGATCGATTTTAAAAATCCGGCACTCAGTTTTCTTTGATTTCCCTCAGCTGGCATCAATGTGTGATCTCTTACTTCTTGTACTGGCTTGGTATGTGAATACGTGGTATGTGTTTGACCAACCTAACTCTCCCCACGAAGTAACACTGTTATAGAAGGGGGAGCTTTCTTCCCCAGGGGACCTGATGGCTTTGTGCTTGTGCGAATAACAAGACTAAGAATATATGCTTCATTCTTTCTTTCCCTGGTGGCTCTTGGATCTGCCTGGATTCTAGGACCCCAAAACAATGTTTCCAGTCAGGATTCCACAATACAGTCATGAAAACTCACTGAGCCCTGACTGCCACTTTGCAAGGACTCAAACTCATATGGCTCTAAAGGAATGCTTTAAATACCAAACAAAACCCAGTTTTCCTCACTAGAGCATGGGGCACACTGATAGTATGCTTGAAGCAAAATAAAGGGAGAAAAATGCATTTCTCAAAATACTCAGGCAGGCTGTTGCCATCATAAAGTTGTTACCGTCGTCATAAAGCAGGGTAAAGAAGTAGATTTGAGACTCCATTGTCTGGGGATAATTAGTGTCTAGGCAAAAATTTCCTGACCAGAACTTCGTATCTTGAAGTAGGAATAATTACAGGGAAACCAGAAGCAGTTTAATCAGTGGGCATCACTTATTCAAGAAACATATATTAAGCACATGCTCCACAAATGGTACCATTTTATAAGCATAACGAAGTACAGCAGAAGTAGGTTTTGATCTGGTAATATGATTAAGGAACAAACAGTTTGGGTGAAAATCAATTGCCCTGGCTACCTACTACCTGGTGAGCTTGAAATCTGATTTTTTTTTTCTCACTGTTGTTTCTCTTTTAGAATGACTTTAAAATGTCAGATTTTGTCTCAGGAGCAGTAAGGGTCCCATCTGCAATATCAGTGACACATAAAAACTTCACGAGAAACACTAAAATGCATTAATGGAATCAGTAGAAAGCTATGGACATTTTGATGTACTTATAATTTAATACCCTCCTCATTTTCTTTTTTAAAAGTGAAACAAATGGCATACAACTGAGACGTTGATACTGGTTAGAGAAATGGCCTAACAGAAAAATAAACTAAGTACTCTCAACCCATTTTAAAATTAAGGTGAGTGCTAAGAATTAACTGTGGTTTTTAGAGTTTTTCTTTAGTTTTTCCTTTATTCTTAATCAGAGTTTCTTAACCTTGATTGACACTTTTGATATTTTGGTCCAGAGAATTGTTTGCGGGGCTGTCCTGGGTGTCTGGGAAGGGTTGCAGTGGTCCTGGCCTCTACCTTCTGGATGCAACAGCAGCATCCTCCCAGTGTGAAAAGCAAAACTCTCTCTGTCTCTAGACATTGCCAAATCACCCCCTCCCTATAGAGAACCATTGCTTTATATTGACGCCTAAAAGATAGCCAATCATGTGACTTGCTATTGGCCATAAGAGCAAATTTGGAATTCAGTATATGACAGATGCTGTCAGTTACACCAAAAAATCACATAGGCCAGGAGCTATGACATTATAGAATTAATATTTGTATTGTGTTTCTTATGGGTTTTGTTTCTTAAGAAAAAGATGACAGGCTTTGTGATTGGCTGGTGTCAGGGTTGCATATCTGAGTCACAAGGATACTGGGTTGCATTTGAGTCCCTGGGGTACTGTGTTCATTGTCCAGTCTCCAAAGTCCATTCCTGACCTGCACAGAGCAGAGGTGACCTGGAGCAATTGCCCCAGTTTGTACATCTGGAGGTTAGTTATAAAAAGTAACCACATGCACCATGAAAATAGAGGCAGGGGTGCAGGCACGGTGGCTCACGCCTGTAATCCTAGCATTTTGGGAGGCTGAGGCAGGAAGATCACTTGAGGTCAGCAGTTTGAGACCAGCTTGGCCAATATGGTGAAACTCCGTCTCTACTAAAAATACAAAAATTAGTCAGGCATGGTGGTGCATGCCTGTAGTCTCAGCTACTTGGGAGGCTGAGGCAGGAGAATCACTTGAACCTCGAAGGTGGAGGTTGCAGTGAGCCGAGATCGTGCCACTTCACTCTAGCCTTGGAGACAGAGCTAGACTCCATCTCATAAAAAGAAAGAAAACAAATAGAGAGGGTAAAAAGTGAATGTATTTGTTTCACTACCAGTTCACCTATTGGGAGGATGGCTAAATGTTTATGTCTGGATGTGCAAGGAAGAAGCCGAGCAGTTCTCAACATCCCAAGGCCATCATTTTCCTGTTTATAGAATAGTTTGGGAGCCACTTTTCCCTGAATTTCCTCATCTCAGAAGATTTAGCATGTCTTCCCAGATTCACTATATATAGTCCCTTGGAAATTGGTAGGATAGAGACAAAAAAAAAAAAAAAAAAAAAAAAAACTGGAATCTCTCAGAATAGGGCAAGTTCATGGCCTTTGAATGGCAGGTCATCTGAGGCTTACATGATAGATCACACCCACGTCCATCCATCAGAGAAGCTTTGGCTCCTCAGAAGACACAAGAACGTTCAGAGTGTGCAGCTCTTAATTCGCACTTCAGTAGCACTTGTCATGGTTGACTACACGCTTCTCTAATCACTTTATTCTGTTGACTTCCATGATTTATATTTGCCTAGTTTCTCTACTACATCACCGGTTGTAGGCCATTTTTTTCTAAGCTCCTCTAATGGACCCTCTTTTTTTTAACCAAAGCTATAAATATTGCAAGGTTTATAGGCCCTCCTTTCCTACCCTCTTCTGAGTGATTGCATCTAGCCCCATGGTTTCAAATACAACCAGCAATGAAATATTTTCACAGCCTAGACTATTCTACTGAGACCAGTATTCAGACATCCAACTCCTACCTGGCATCTTCATCTGAAATGGGTATTTCAAACTTAACACGGCCAAAGTACAGACGTTTGATTCTCCATATTCACTTCTACCCATTAGTTCACTCATGCCTCCATCATCTCTCAGGCTATGAGTCATCCTTTCTTTGCTTTGCTCTCCAAAATATATTCCAACTTCCACCACCACTCACCTTCTCCACTGCTAGTTACATCCTAGTGCACACCACTGGTATCTCCTTCCTGGATGAATCCAATCATCTCCCAAATGTTGCTCCGTCAACAAAGCAATCTTTCAAAAGCTTGAAATCCTCTGCTCCCATGATACTTGAGCTAAGCCCCAGCCCTTGGTAAAATAGGCAAGGCCTCCAAAACCTGGCCCTTACCTCCACCATCCTTCCTGTCCATCCCAACAAAATGGTCCCAATGGACCTTATTTCTGTTCTACAATACATTAAGTTTGCTTCCATTAGAAAACCTTTGCCTACTGTTCCTTTTGTTTCTGACACCCTTTCCTAAATCCTTCCCCTATCCCCAATGGTCTTTCCTCAAAAGGCCTTCGTAACCTGCTAGAGCAGCCCCACCTTCTGTCACAGAAGCAGAACATTAACCTCTTTTCTCTTACTCATAATGTCTATTCCTGAAATTATCTTATTTTTTATGTACGCATTGCTTGTTCTCATCACTGGAAGGCATGTCCCTTGTCAGCAGTGACTCTACGGTGTTCATTGCTGTGTCCCCAGAGCCTAGAACAGTGCCTGACACAGAGAACTTCAGTAAACACTTGGGGCTGACTATCTAGATGTCATCTAAACAATGGAAGAACCCATCACAAGTTACATGCTGCTGAGTAAGGCAACTGCCTGGTTGTGTCATGTGCCTGCCTACCTGCAGAGTGCAGTTATCCATGTTGAGAATTGCAGATAATCACCTACGACCCTTCGGTGATTTTGATATATGAACTATTCAGGTGAACTACTGTTTTGAGACAGCTTCAAATTCTGGTATGCCATGCAATTCTGCTTTCACATTTTTGATTACCTCTAAGACCTATTCATATGCAATTGAGTCAAGGACAGGATAAACTGTTGTAAATGACTTGAACTAGCAACAAAAGAAAATATGGGGATAGGCCGGGCACGGTGGCTCATGCCTGTATTCCCAGCACTTTAGGAGGCTGAGGCAGGTGGATCACTTGAGATCAGGAGTTCGAGACCAGCCTGGCCAACGTGGTGAAACCCCATCTCTACTAAAAATACAAAACTTAGCTGGGTGTGGCGGCACGTGTCTGTAATCCTAGCTTCTCAGGAGGCTGAGGCAGGAGAATAGCTTGAACCTGGGAGGTGAAGATTCCAGTGAGTGGAGATTGCATCGCCGCACTCCAGCCTGGGCAACAGAGTGAGAATCCATCTCAAAAAAAGAAAAGAAAAAGGAAATATGGGTATAGATGGACTTTGAGAGCAATAAGACCAACACGAAGACCCTACTTTCAGGTAGTCTTTAGATGGTGATTAAAGACATCGCTCCCCCAAAATATTAAACATCTTTTGGCCACTAGAAAATGTGAAATTCCCTCAAGAAAAGCTTTTAAATTTTGGCAACTTTCTGAAGCTCATTTTTTGCATGTATACCACTGTTATTTCGTCTGTAATTGCATGGTCGTTGCCAACATCATCAGCATTTTCTTTGGTAAAAGAAATTTTCGTCTGGAAAAGTAAAGAAAGAATGCAGTGCAATTACTAGTATTGACCTGGAATATAAAACAGGATGGTAGCTGAATTATAACTAATTAGAGCTAGCCATCAAGAATTAGGGAGCTCTGCCGGCTAGACATGTTTAGCTTCAAGAGGAAAAGAAAGTGTGAACTAGGGGAAAAAAAATCACAGACTACCTTGCATCTTTCCACAGTTCAGCAATTAAATGAGATTCACACCAATTGAGATCAAGAGTGCCTGCAGGCTGACACAATAAAAGAAGATTATATATGCCCCTACGACATGTTGACAGAATTACAATCATCTCAGGGCTAAGAGGGATGGGGGATTTTTGATGAGTTCTTTAGAAGGGATACCTTTTAATCACAGGGAAAATAACTTCTCCAAAATGTAAAAGTGGGCATGTTTAAATGCATCTTTTGGCATCCACATGCTTACGGTTGAATTGACAAATAATTATGTTAGCTAAGTTCTAAGAATGTATCCTCTGTCTTCTCATCCCCACTCCAAACGAACTTAATACATTTAAGAAGCCTTATTTAAAAAAAAAAAAATCTGACTTATTGGAAATAGTTGTTATTACAAAGGCATTTTACTTCCACCATACCAAAGATTCATCGCAGGGTGACTTTATTAAAGAGTTCTCCTGTGTTTTTAAGTGTTTGCTTAGAGATTATTATTGGACCTAGGTGACAGAAAGAAGGAGATTTAAAGTTCAAATTCTAGCAGCCATAACCAATTGAAGAGCTCCCAGAAATAAAAATAAAGCATCTCTGAAATCATTAAGTGAGTCAATAGCAAAGTATGTTAACATTTTAAGAACTTCATGGATCATTTTAAAGCACAAAACCGTGATATAAAATAAGACATTAATAGTTAATATAGTTAGTCAAAGGCTATGAAGGAGAGAAAAGGCACCTTTTGCTTTTTCAGTAACTGGGGAAAAAATTTGTGTTTCTTACTAGCTCCATAGAATTTTCAACAGTCCATCTTCCTACCCTTAAGTTAGACAATCAAATTGTATAAATGAAATGTTTTAATTATAGTTCCTTTGTTTAGCATTCAGTATATCCTTCTACTTTCAAGTTGCTGAATCTTTGTTCTTGGTCAAAGATTGTTTCCTATTCTTTGATGAGAGCATCTTTTTCCATATTTACTGTTTACTACCTTTATAATTAAAAGAAAAAACTTAAATTATGATTCCTTTTATTGATCTATTTTACATAATATTGTGGGTTCAAATAACACAGATAGAATCACTGTAGGATTGTTCTATGAAATAAAACATTCCCAAGGCATTATCCAAAACCTCTTTGGTAGAAGAGTTGGTGAACAAGGATTTAGTTTTATTCCCCTTACACAACCATCATTTTCCCAGAGACTAAAATAACTCCTCTCTCTGCTTGCCATATAGGGTTGCTGTAAGGATAAGTTATCTGAAAACTCTCTGGGAAGCATAAATAGCTATGCACAAAGCTCCTAGAAATAGTGATATTTAAACTGGTATATCCTTTGCATTTATAAGGAACACATGACCAGGAAGTTAGTTCCTGGCATCTGTGAAATATTGAACCTTTCTGCATATGCCCTCATTTGGGGTGACTTGTTCTTTTGACATCACCTGAGTTGATATAGTCCCAATACAGTTCTCTCTGCATTTTAAAAACAAACTTCATTCTTTGTTAGTTAGAAAAATTCTATTTGAACATCAATGGAAACAATGTAGGAGGGAAGAAAGGATGAATCCAACTGTCTTTCCTAGGTGGCCCCTGGATATATAGTCATCCATGTAAATCCTGATACCGTCAGCAATTGAGAGCCATTTTGATCAATGATATTCTTCTGTTAATATCCTAAAGACATGAGTCAAATAGTTCATGAAAGTTCTAACATATAATAAGTACTTACTGTTTGTTAAAATCATTGAGGCCGGGCACAGTGGCTCACGCCCATAATCCCAATACTTTGGGAGGCATAAGTGAGCAGATGAGCCCAGGAGTTCGAGACCAGCCTGGGCAACATGGCGAAACCCCGCCTCTACTAAAACTATAAAAATTAGCCAGGCATGGTGGCACACGCCTGTAGTCCCAGCTACTGGGGAGGCTGAGGTGGGAGGATCGCTTGAGCCCAAGAAGTCGAGGCCTCAGTGAGCTGAGATCACACCACTGTACTCCAGCGTGGGTGATAAAGCAAGACTCAGTCTCAAAAAGGGGAAAAAAAATCATTGAGAATGAACATTTAAACCTATTTCCTTTTTTGTTAGTTTGGCTTTTTGGAAGTGTAGCCATAAAATTGAGTTAGTTAATGCAACTATCAGTTTATGGTCATGTTCTTTCCTTTGTTTTCATTGCAACCCCAGGTGCACACCACATCTAAGTATCAGAGACCAAGGTGATCAGTTTCAACACAAGCACTGGCAACCAAACTTTCCACCAAAGCAAAGATAACCTGCTGTTGGAACATTCCAACACTTTCGCTGCAACATTTTGAGGTTTTTTTCTGCTTTTATTTCCATGGCCAAAGTTTGTGCCTAAATTTCATGACCCAGATGCTTTAATTAAGCCTAACATAACTAATCAATACCAGTGAAATGCTCGTGTAATTTAATAGAGCAGATAAAGCCCAGATATCTAACAGTTAAGGATAAAGCATGCGGGCACGTGAATCAGTTTTTATCAGGGACTCAGTGGGATCATAATGTATTCTTTCAATCTGTACCAAAGGTAGTAGCAGGAAGCTATTTTATAGATTTCTTGGTAACCTGAGCTGATGTTATACCTGTTACAGGACTTTTCCAATCAAATAGAAACACAGCGGGATAAAAAAGATACAAATGGTGATTTTATGACAGTCAATAAAAGCATGACTCTATAGTAATGGAAAATTTGTTCATGAATTGTGAAGTAGCAATGGCTCAGTTGGTGTGGTAATAAAATAATTTGTGCCCTGCCTTTGGAAATTTTTTTAACGTGCTAGCATGTACCTTTAATTTACTAGTTTTCTCTTTCCTTTGAGGAGTCACCAAAGGCAATGAAACTTATTAAAAAAAAAAAGTATCTTAGTCAAATACAGACACCTAATCAAAACAGCCCCTTGAATGTCTTTTTAAACTAATTTATAAGCCATTACTTTTATTCATGAAAGAAAATTTCAGCCCATTATGTGAAAAAAATAAATTTATATTTAGTTCTCTCTTCTCACGTAAATGGAAATGAAACATTTTATGTTTAAAATGGTTAACCTCATGCCTCCCAAATGAGATATAGCTTTTCACTACCTTTTAAGTCATATGTTGGCCTATAGGAAGTAAAATGCAGGAAGAATTTATCACCATTGTATGTGGTAATTTAAATGAACAACAAATCAAAAGCAAAGAAAAAAGAATCAGGGTCCTTTGGAGGAAGAGGGCAGGAATTATGTGATGTTCTACTTGATCCAGAAAAATGTATTCTGCCCGGAATACTTCTCCCTACTTCTTTCAAAGGAGGGTGCTATCCTCTAGGCTTCTGTTAGTGTCTCTGTGGATATTAATTTTCTGGGAAAATTTTCTTTGTTCCCACCTTTCCCCAGGGTTCTTAAATTATTATAAATAATTAAAATAATGGCAGAATTCTGTTTCCTAGTGAGCTTATACAGTCAAATTAATGATCTGTAATTGTTTCACTCCAATAACAAGAGGCATTCATGTAGATTATATAACTTCGTCTTTGGTGTTAAAAACAAAGAAGATAATTATTATCTCTGGAATATGGAACATGAAATCTTAAAAGGATGAAGCTACCTATAAAGGCTTTCTTGCCCAACAAACCAATTCAATTTTCTTTAAACTTCTAAAATTTTGCATAAACACATCTGAGAGCCTTATTTCAAAGTGAGTGCTATCTTGCTCTTAATAGGAAAGCAAAGACCACTAGTGAATTTGAACCAAAAACGCTTCCATTCTGTGTGTTCCTTTACCCTTTCATTCACTTCCTCAATTCCCCACAGACAAATCCATGATTTCTTGGCCAGGCGCGGTGGCTCATGCCTGTAATCCCAGCACTTTGGGAGGCCAAGACTGGTGGATCACCTGAGGTCGGGAGTTCGAGACCAACCTGGCCAACATGGTGAAACCCCCTCTGTACTAAAAATACAAAAATTAGCCGGGCATGGTGGCGGGCACCTGTGATTCCAGCTACTTGGGAGGCGGAGACAGGAGAATTGCTTGACCCTAGGAGGCAGAGGTTGCAGTGGGCCAAGATCGCGCCACTGCACTCCAGCCTGAGTGACAGAGCAAGACTCCGTCTCAAAAAAAAAAAAAAAAAAAAAGTTTGGCTGAAACCTAGGTGTCACTGTGACGTCTCCTCCAGGAAACTGACCCAAGTTAAGCTACCAGACACCATGCTCTGTGCAGCTATTGCTGCTGTGTCCTCATCACACCCAGGGAAAGAGTAGAACCAGCAGGTTTCCTATAAATGGTAAGTGAACTTGTCACCTGCTGATAGGAAACATGATTATTCTCTATACCAATTCCCCAGGGTTCTTGAGCCCAAATATTTTAAGCAGCAAAGATAAATAATTATTCAAATATTTCCATTGATTGTAAGAAAGCCAGACTAACTGTTTTTCTGAAATAGTTACTGGAAGCTTTATATTGCTTTATTATTCTCTTTTTTTTTTTTTTTTTTTTGACAGAGTCTCACTCTGTCACCCAGGCTGGAGTACAGTGGCACAATCCTGGGTTCAAGCGATTCTTCTGCCTCAGCTTCCTCAGTAGCTGGGACTACAGGCATGTACCAAGCCCAGCTAATTTTTTGTATTTTTAGTAGAGATGGGATTTCACCACGTTGGCTAGGCTGGTCTTGAACTCCTAACCTCTTGATCCACCCACCTCGGCTTCTCAAAGTGCTGGGATTACAGGCGTGAGCCACCGCACCCGGCCTATTATTATACTTTTTAATGATACAGGGTCTCACTCTATGGCCCAAGCTGGAGTATAGTGGCGCAATCATAGCTCACTGCGGCCTCAAAGTTCTGGGCTGAAGTGATCCTCTCACCTTGGCCTCCCAAGTAGCTGGGACTACAAGAATGTTCCACTAGGCCTGGCTAATTTTTTTTGTTGTTGTTTTTCGTAGAGATGGGGTCTTGGTATACTGCACAGGCTGGTCTGTAACTCCTGGCCTCAAGACATCCTCCCACCTAGGCCCCCCAAAGCACTGTCATTGTAAGAGTCAGCCACTGTGTACCCAGCCTATATTGATTGCTTTTATATGTTGCATGATAGCCTAGCCAAGCACTCTCTTCAGTTTCCTGAACTGCATAATCACCCTAGAGCCAATTGCTCTTCACTCCATTCCTGACCCTTCCACGTATCACCTTGCTCTGTGACCCTAACCTCTCTGTGCCTCATCTAATCTGTAGAGTAGGAATAAAAATGGGACCTATCTACCCAACAGAGTTATTATAAGGCTCAATAGAGGTAAAACCATTAGCATAGCCTCCAGTACATAGTAAGCACTCAGCAAATGTTAGCTATTGATTCTGATTTGGGCGGTGGGGATTAGAGCAATTCATAACCTAGTCTGAAAGAGACAAAAACAGCCGTTTTCAGTTCATTGACAGCCATCCACAAAGGTGGGTAATAATATTTTGTTATTAACCATTTCATCTTTCTGAATATCATCATTTCCTCCTATCTAATTTGGTCCTAAGTGAACATAACTTAGCCCTATCTTGTGGATCCACTTGGGCTGCGTTTCATGAGGAGAGGAAGGGCAGACAGTGGGATGGTGGGAACTGAGTTGTCGTCAGAAGCGCTGGGGCTCTGCCCTTGACTACCACTGTGCAGGACTTACGGCAGGCAACTCATCTATAAATAGGGATATTAAATCTACTTATCTCATAGGCTCATTGAATTAAATAAGTTTTTAAAATATGATAACATTTACTGTAGAATATCAGGCAAAGGTAAAGGACTGCTGTCGTCTTCAATAGCGTGTTTCCTGCCTACCATTAATCTGCTTCCTTTCTCCTTGCTTTTGGAGCTGCCCGGAGATGGCTCTCATTGCCAGCACCCCCTTTGGGTGATCGCGTAAATGATTACATGTGATCACCTATGAAAAGCGCCACAAACAACAGGACAGTTTCTTTAGATATGAGACCCCTTCCCTAACTCATTTCTCCACCTTTATCTGTGGCCCTATGTTGGGAGACCCAATGGTACAGAATCTGGGGAGCAAGGATTTTTAGAAGAAAGCTGCAATGCCAAAGATTGTATCATCACAGCCTATAGCGAACGCTGACAAGATATTCTCGGTTAAAAAAATAGAGAGAAATTTTAAGATAATATGACACTCTACAAAGCATCATTTAGGTCTGCCTATTTAAACCTCTTTATCCAAAGCAACCCTCGTTAATCACGAGTCCAGTCTCTTGGTTTGGACCCAAGTCATCTTGATGATCAACTGTTGCATGTAACCTGGGTGGGCTTGGCTGGGCTTTTGCCTGAGGCCGTTTTTGCCCTCTCCTTCTGCAATTGAATTCAGCCTATAAAGCACAATAAAGTAAGCAGAAATAAAAATCTTAGGAAAGCCAGTTGGGGGAAAAATATGAATGCAAATCCTAGAACTATCATTTAAAACCCACTGGATGTGAAACAAAATGTTCTGCCTAGTAACACAGATTAATAAAATAATTAAGCCACATTAGACAGGTGATGTTTTAGTCAATTTGGTGTGGGTAAAGCACTCTCGCACAGATTGCAACTTCTGCTCAGAGACTATAAACATTTGCATTTTATGAGTTTTTAAAAGCATATCTTATTTTAAATTCAAAACCTTAATGTCACATGCAACTGCTTTTGATGAAAAGTTATTCCTGCACTATTTGGGGAGAGAAGCCAAATGCTGGGTTTGGGCAGAGGTTTTGAAGTAGGCTGAGGTCAATCTTTAAAAGTAGCCAAATAGATCTAGTTTGAAATATTAATCATTTGTTTACACATACTTAATGCATTTTACCCCTGTTAATCTACACGGAGATACACTTGGAATTTAGAAGCAATCTATACCCAACCATCAAATATTGAGTGTCTCTTTAGAAAAGTAATTGGTAAAACGCAAAGCTACTATTTGTTCTCTTTGATTAATGTTTACCAAGTGGAAGTTTTGGAACAAAATAATACTTCAGTGTTCAATACCTACTAATGCTTCCTCTCCTCATCAACACCTTAGCCCTTTCTTATCTTCCTTCTTATCGTCTTTTGAAACTGGAGTGCAATAAATATTTTCTTGAATTAAATTTTAATTTTTAGGAAGGATTTGCATTTCCTCTGGACTATAGACATATCACCTTTTAAAAGTTCCCTCTAGGTAAACCACTGATATATCCACTTCCCATTCCATACGTGGCTTCTCTTCAGAATCACTAAACACAGTCAGTTACAGCACATTGGGGGTCTATAGAACAGCATTTCTCCCCCTCTCAGCTCCTTCTGATCACTTTACTCCAGAGGAATGCTTTCATCTCTGGATAGATCCCAGAGCCTGGCATGTGCAATGGGTTCAGGGTTTGAGGAATGAATTAATGAGCATCTTCATCTGTAAATTGAGGGTCATGAAACCTATTATGCCCATTTTAATGATTAAACGAGGCATAGTTCAGGAAAGCTTTTTAAATATAGTAAAATGATATATAAACATAAAGTGTTGGCCAGGCATGGTGGCTCATGCCTGTAATCCCAGCACTTTGGGAGGCTAAGGCAGGAGGATTGCTTGAGGCCAGGAGTGGGACCAGCCTGGGCAACAAAGCAAGATCCCAACTCTACAAAAAATAAAAATAAAAGAGCCAGGCCTGGTGGCACAAACCTGTAGTCCCAGCTACTTGGAGGCCAAGGCAGGAGGATTGCTTAAGCCCAGAAGTTGGATGCTGTAGTGAGCTGTGATTGTACCTGTGAATAGTCACAGAACTCCAGTCTGGGCAACAAAGCAAAACCGTCTTTCTAAAAATAAAAAATAAAAAACTTAAAAAAAAACGCTTATTAAAATTACATGCCTTTGAATAGTGCATGTTAAAAAATATTTGAAAGAATTTCAGAGGTAAGAAATACCTGTAGACCCATAAGAATTTGCATTGCTTAAATAGCCTTGTTCCCTAAAAGAAATTAAATAAGGGCAGTCTCCTTAAAGCCTGAATTGAAAAATTGAAAACACAACTATGTCCCTTTTTCTTTTCTCCTCTCAACTCTTTGACTGAGAGCCAAGCCCTTAAAACAAGATTATTTTTATAATTAAAAACTTCTGCTCTTTTCAAGAATAGAATGTTATAGCTTATTGCTTAAAAAGCAGCAACATGTGACTTTCCACAGAGAAAGAGACTGCTGTGTATGAACCAGCAAAGACACTTGATTTTCTATGACCAGCCAGCCAGGGGTGATGGGAAAAATTAACAATGACTTCTGTGAGTGACCTGAAAGTTATCACTATATTTCCAGAAGCTGACTGTAGCATTTCTTTTTAAAATAACCACCTGGATTATGTTGACTGGGGCAGAGTGACAGCAATACTGAGATTTCAGAACTGGGCAGGCTAAGAGATAATAGAGCAAGGCCCTCCCTCTTATGACAAGAAAATGGTACCTCTCTTCCTTCATTTTGGATGTTGATATTCATCTTATTCGATTAAAAGGAAGTGTGAACATCTACAAAATTGATTCCTCCCTCATCCATCATTATGTACTATAATATTCATATGTTTTATCTTTTCTCTGAGTTTTAATTCATGGTATCTATGAGGAACAAGGATTTTTGAACCAGCTGTAGTCAATCGGAAATATGGACCATTCCCTAAATTCATCGTTTTTTTGTACATGGCTGGAGTTTCCTCAGAACAGGTGGTGGTGTCGTTGTTGTTTTAATGGGAAGCATTGCGCTGTGAGTATAAAGAATGAGTCTAGCTGTCTAAAGTAAACGTCAACTATGTCTTGACTTTTGGTCATCTGAAATGGAAGTTCTGTTGGTCTGAACTGTTTCTAAGCAATGTCTCCAGCATCCTGGAGAGGAAATTCTCAGGGTCTTCTAAAACAGATGCATCAACAGAGAGCTGCCCTATTGGAGACAATAAGGACTCCATGAGTGTTTTGCAAATGTATCTTCAATTCTTAGTTAATTTGAACAGTGTTTGAGAGGTTCTTCCAGAAATTCCAAATGTTTTACCAATTAGCTTTTGCCTTAAAATGTGAATCCATTTTTTGAATCTTGACCAAGACTTCTAAGGTGCCCAGTGTACACAGTTCCTCATTTTTTTTAAAGCACATAACTCCACCACTTGTATGGAAAAGGGAGTTGGTGATGTTTGAGAACAAAGGACTAAAGCATAGAGAATTTCTGGAAGTATCTTTGTACCATTCTGGGAGGACGAGAAAGGGGATTTTAGAGGAGGTGAAAATTTAAAGCACAATATGTATTCCGTGAACAGCCAATGCATTTTGAAAATGATTTGTGAGCTTTATTTGAAGTCACATCTCATTGACAACATTCTTCGCCTCTTGGAGGTATGGGAGCCCCAAATATTACTATAAGGCTAGTAGGAAGACTAAGGTTTTTTTTAAAAAAATGCAACTATGATTATTTCATCTCCAATGTACCAGTAATCTTTCATATCAATACGTTAAAGCACTTTAGAATCAATACACTGATACATTCAATAATGAAAAGTTGAATTCTTCACATTTATGTATCAAGCCTAGCTGACTTCAAGAAGCAGAAAGAGAGGCCCTGCTCTTGAACTCTGTAACCATTGTAAATCACCTCATCTCTGCATTTTCCATAAAAATTTCATTCTTTTATTTTAAGTGAAAACCAAAAAAATTAAAACTTTTTTACATTAACCATGTCGCGTTCTTGTCCTGGAGCCTTCTCTTCTAGGATGGACAAATTTGGGGTATTCATTTCATGTCCCTTGGTCTCAATTTCCTCATTGATAAAGTGAAGGCCTCCTGGGCTGTTAGAATCTTTTTGCTTTAAAAGTACAAGATTAGGCTGGGTGTGGTGGCTCAGGCCTGTAATCCCAGCATGGTGGCTCATGCCTGTAATCCCACCATTTTCAGAGGCCAAAGCGGGCAGATCATGAGGTCAGGAGTTCAAGACCAGCCTGGCCAACATGATGAAACCCCATCTCTATTAAAAATACAAAAAAATTAGCCAGGCATGGTGGCAGGTGCCTGTAATCCCAGCTACTCAGGAGGCTGAGACAGGAGAACCGCTTGAAGCCAGGAGGCGGAGGTTGCAGTGAGCCAAGACCATGCTATTGCACTCCAGCCTGGGCAACAGAGCAAGACTCCGTCTCAAAAAAAAAAAAAAAGAAAAAAGAAAAGTGCGAGATTATTCTGCAACCTAAGTATGTGGGTGTGGTCAGTTACACTCAAAGGGCTTCAAACTGAAAAGGACTAATTTTCTATCCTATCTTTCTCTCAAGTCCTTACCTCCTGTAAATGATTGTAGCCCCTAAATTTCTTTAAAAATGGCTCAAAAAGGCTTTGTGGAATTGATTTAATGATTGTATCTGTTGGGATATTTACAAGTGATGGCAAATTTGACATAAATTCAGAAAGCTCTGAAGGGGGCATGATTTTTAGTTGAGTCATAAAACCTAGAAGGTGGCAGCTACGTAAGACATTTCATTCTGATTAGTATAACCACTTTTCAAAGCCTCTTTTATTCTGTTTTGAAAATGTGTTCAATGTTAGCACTAACTTTTGTGAATTACTTTGGGGTTTACTTTAGCTTTTTACCAGTATTCCAATTCTTAGCTCCATTATCAACTCTAATTTCCCTAAGGGTGGCTTTCTTTCTGTATTACTGACAAATCAATTTTTTTGTTTGTTTTTGGATACAAGTTGAAAAGTGACTCTAATTACCTAACAGTAATAATATAACTACATCAGTAAATGTTGACCTCTATTCAGGGTGTTCTTTCTGTCAAAGGAGGAGAGAGCACCTCTCTAGTTTGACAGGGTGATAAACAAACTGAATCCAAGTGGTCGATTCCATCACCTGGGGTGAAATGTAGTAGCTATTAAATAGTCCGCAACAGTACGGGATTGTGACGGGTGAAGAACAAAAAAGATTTCTTCATTTATTGCCTGATGTAATGTATACTCACGGCTGGTGGTCCTCCTTAGACTGCCAGAGAAAATCCCAACTTCATTGTAATACATTTCAACTCTAGTAACTTGAGTTTCTACCTTGGATACAGCCTTCAAGCCACATGTGGAAATGGAACAAGCAGAGGCTGAGAGCCAGACGGACTTGTTTTCTAATCCCATTTCTTCCTCATGGGAGCTTGTCAACTTGGGCCAATAATACCAGCTCTGTGAGCAGCATTTTCTAGGTGTAGTAAATACAGGCTATGATGATGACTCTCTTGGCGACGTGTTATAATCACTAAATGCAGAACGATATTCGGGTTGCCTGGTATACCATTCAGTGCTCCAGTTCGCTTCCTTCCTTCCCTTATTTATTTATTATTTATTATTTATTTTGCCATACCGATAGCTGGTTTTAGTTTTTTTAGAGAAAATTCTACAATTAAAAAAAAAAAGAGTTCCAAAACATTTAACAGAATTTCCAGCAATGATTATTTCTGAAATGTAAAGATTTGAAACATAATTTATGCAAAACTAAAAGCCAGAAGGACTCATTCTTGCTTTTTCCTTTTTTAAAACAATCTAGACCATTTGTCACAAGAAAGTTCAGCATGTTATAGCAGCTGCAGCCTCAGTCACCCTCAGAATTGCTGTCCCTCCTCATGGGGACACAGCACCCCACTGAGGACACCAACACACCTTCAGTCGGCTTCTTAGGGTTTTCCTCCAGGTCCATCTTAGTGGCTCCAGATTCAGAATTTACTCCATGCCTAGGGGTGAAGTAGAGGGTTGGCATCCAAGGCTAAGAGGGTGGCACGGCTTTTTCCGTTGTGTTTGGCTGGTGTCCAGGGGTCATTGTCCATGTGTTTTCTGCCTTTCTAGATTGTGCTTCTCTTGATCCTCTGGCTAGACAGAGCAGCCGTTTCTGCTGACATGTTTTGTCTGCTCTCATTGGAGTTTCTAGGTCATCAGCTTCTAGAGTTCCCAACCAGGGAAATTTAATTAAGGCAAAAAGAAAACCCACCATATCGTTCATCGAGTCCCAAGGTACCTCACCGACCTGCCTTTCTCTCTCCCGCTTTTAGAATCTTCCTAAGTTTGTTTCATTGTGTAATGTTCAGGGTGTTTGGCTGCACTGAACAGGAGGAATAGGGAGAAATGTGTTTGCTCCATTTGGTCATGAACTGGGACTCAGATTTTCTGTAGTAATGTTTACTTTGGGGGGAAAATGTTTAAATGTTGTCCTAGTTTCCTACCTTTATAAGCACCTACCTCAAACAATTTAATCCTTTAGTATTAAGAATGATGCTATATGTACTATGATTACCGCATAGTATAGTAAGTGTATTAGTTTGTTCTCACATTGCTATCAAGAAATGCCTGAGACTGGTTCATTTATAGAGAAAAGAGGTTTAATTGGCTCACGGTTCTGCAGGCTGTACAGAAAGCGTGGCTGAGGAGGCCTCGGGAAATTTTGACTCATGGCGGAAGGCAAAGCCGAAGCAGGTGTGTTCTCATGGCTGGAGTAGGAGGAAGAGAGAGGGGGATGGCAGCACACACTTTTCAACAACCAGATCTCGTGAGAACTCCGTCACTAGGACAGCACTAAGGGGATGGTGCTAACCCGTTAGAAATCACCCATCACGATCAGATCACCTCCGGCCAGGCCCCGCTTCCAATACTGGAGATTACAGTTGAACATGAGATTTGTGTGGGGACACAGATCCAAACCCTATCAGGAGGTGTAAATGCTGTTGATTTCCCACCATAAGTCAAATTCCAGGAATCCCTTTCAGGGAAAAATAAGATCCCTCTAAGGGTTTCATCTGTTTGCTTCCATTTTCCTATGCCACTTTCTTTATGAAGCCACCTGTCCTAACTTTCTTAGACATTTTTTAAGTTCCTCCCAATATTTCCCGCATCATTTCTAAACCACTTCACTTTATATTGATACGGAACTAAACTCCAAGCTGGCTTTATATGTCATCATCATCCACAACACAGAACATCTGCCCTTGATTGCACTATAAAGAAAAACAGGGCCGGGCGCGGTGGCTCATGCCTGTAATACCAGCACTTTGGGAGGCCGAGGCGGGTGGATCATGAGGTCGGGAGATCGAGACCATCCTGGCTAACACAGTGAAACCCCGTCTCTACCAAAAGTACAAAAAATTAGCCGGGCGTGCTGGCGGGCACCTGTAGTCCCAGCTATTCGGGAGGCTGAGGCAGGAGAATGGCATGAACCCAAGAGGCGGATGTTGCAGTGAGCTGAGATCGCACCACTGCACTCCAGCCTGGGCAACAGTGCAAGACTCTGTCTCAAAAAAAAAAAAAGAAAGAAAGAAAAGAAAAGAAAACAGAGTGTCATCTTAGAGATTCCTTTATGGTATACAGTTACTTTGTCAAATAGAAAATATTTTATCTTTAATCCAATTCATTTTTATTGAGTGCTACAATAAGCCTGGCACGGAGCTGCTGGGGACACAAAGATGAATAAGATTCTCCCCGTGTTGCTTACAGAAGAGTGAAGAGTCGGCTGCATACACTAGCCACAGGTAGAGGTGTCATGACTCATGCTGACTTGGGTTGGGAGAAGAGAGAGGGTTGGGGAAGTCTCTGTCTAGAGATGACCTTTGAGCTGGATCTTGAAAAATGAGAATGATTTTTTTTTTCTGATAAGTATGGAGTAGAGAAAAAAAATGTGACCAGTCGCGGTGGCTCATGCCTGTAAATCCCAGCACTTTGGGAGGCTGAGGTGGGTGGATCACGAGGTCAGGAGTTTGAGACCAGCCTGACCAACGTGGCAAAACCCCATCTCTACTAAAATTAAAAAAAAAAAAATACAAAAATTAGCCAGGCGTGGTGGTGTGCGCCTGTAATCCCAGCTACTCAGGAGGTTGAGGCAGGAGAATTGCCTGAAGCCAGGAGGCAGAGGTTGCAGTGAGCCAAGATCATGCCACTGCACTCCAGCCTGGGTGACAGCATGAGACTCTGTTTCAAAAAAAAAAAAAAAAAAAAAAGAGAGAGAAAAAAATGCAAGCAAAGAAACAGGGGCAGGAAAGCACCCAGGAAGGCCTGGCATTTGGCACTGTGCCAGCTGCTCTGGAGGTTCTCAGAAGATAAATTTGCAGAGCTGATGATTATGGTTACATGGTGAATAGGAGAGGGTGGGGGACAGCAGGAGGACTTTTGTAAAGCATTTCTTCTGTGTCATTTGCTATTTTATTGAATGTGTGCTCTGTTTTGTTTCTTTTCACCTGTCTCTGGTATACAGTGGTAATGTATGCACATTGTAAACTGCAGAGTGAGAATTTATTCTTTTAGGAAAACATCCTAAAGGTAGATTTCTTTCTCTCTCTCTCTCGTTAAGCCACGAGAACATGAACTGGTTAAATGATTCTACCGCCTCTAAATGTGGAATATACTTGAGTTCTGGAGGGGAAAAGAATTGATTGCCTTAACAAGGTCTACTGCTAAACTGAACATATGTTGCTCATAATGTCACTTTCTAAATCAATGAAATTATCATTATAGAACATGTCGACAAATTAGACATGTAAAGCGCCGGCTGTATGTGGGAGAGATGTAATTTGGCTCCATAAAAAGAAAATTAAACAATAAAATATCAATGACAGATGTAGTTAGCTAAAGGTTTTGAGGTTTAAATACCAATTTGTGAGGGAAAAATTATGCAGACAAACTGAGAGGACCAGATAAAAATACCAGTCTTCACAGGAGAGGAAGATTCGGTCTTTTGACCAGATGTTCTCAGACCTTAGCTGTGCCCTTTATTAAACAGGCAAATGCACTAACAAGTTTCTAACTTTCTAAAATCCCAACAAAGTACGTTAGTCATGGTAAGAGAAATACAGCGAATCAAATATCAATTCATTTCTTTTATTGGAAAGAGTATAGCAGATGAGGTGAGAATTGGTAAAGACATGTTTTTCCTCGCAACGGCTGCTTCAAGGATAATTTGTGTTATGTTTCTCAGAAAGCAACATGCCAAAAAGCCACAAGTTCCAAGATATTCCTAATTGTGGTTAATTATTCCTAATAATAACATCATGGCATTATATGAGACAAAGATAAGATAAGACAAAGATCGCACCACTACACTCCAGCCTGGGCAACAGAGCAAGACTCCGTTTCCAAAACAAACAAACAAAAAAAAATTAGCCAGGCCTGGTTGTGTGCACCTGTAGTCCCAGCTACCTGGGAGGCTGAGGCACAAGAATTGCTTGAACCTGGGAGGCGGAGGGTGCAGTAAGCCGAGATCATGCCACTGCACTCCACCCTGGGCAACAGAGGGAGATTGTCTCAAAAAAAAAAAAGTTGGTCTTTTCATCATTGTGCCTCCTAGCATGTAGCACTGTAACTTGTACAACAAAATTATCGATGATATGCTTATTACTCTTACAGTGAAACCTGTGTATGACTCCTAAGATATAAAATAAATGAAAATTAATCTTGTTCTATACATTAACAGGTATTCTTAGTGAGTATCAGGAATAACTGGTGAAGTAGTAAATTCTCTTCAGTTTTCAATGCACTTTATACATCTTCAGCATCTGTGGATTAAGATAGAGAAAATGACACTATCCCAAGATTACGGAAGTTCTGGAAAATCTCAACATCAATAAAATTTACTAGGGGACTTTTCCAATCTCTTGTAAATCCTCTAATTTTTTTTTCCCTCCACTGTGCTCACCAACATTGGGAATAAAAAGTGGATCTTTTGGCTGGGCACAGTGGCTCACACCTGTAGTCCCAGCTCTTTGGGAGGCCAAAGTAGGTGGATCACTTGAGGCCGGGAGTTTGAGACCAGCCTGGCCAAGATGGTGAAACCCTGTCTCTACTAAAAATACAAAAATTAACTGGGCATGGTGATGCATGCCTGTAATCCCAGCTACTTGGGAGGCTGAGGCAGGAGAATCGCTTGAACCCGGGAGGCAGAAGTTGCAGTGAGCCAAGATCGTGCCACTGCACTCCATCCTGGGCGACAGAGCAAGAGTCTGTCTCAAAAATAAAAAATAAAAAAAAAGTAGGTCTTTTCATCATTGTGTTTTCTAGCATGTAGCACTGTAACTTCCACCTACTAGTAACTGAAAACACGCATGTGGGAACATTGCACAGATGGATAGATGCAGAGATGAAAGAAGGAAAGCTAAAATATTTGCCACGTGAAAACCATGCATCCTGTTCAGAAACTAATTCTGCCTTCACGCCTTCCAGGAGCATGGGAGGGGTGTCGTCCTGGCCCTTTTGTGGATGAGGGGGACCACATGGTATTTCTACTGAAGAGTTGTGAAGGGAAGCACCCAGGTCACTTCCAGGCTGGGCCAGCTCACTGCTAGTGGGAGATGCAGCAGAGTTGTCCAACCCTCTCTCAGTGTTGATGCCAGCTCCCCAGTCAGCCTCACTTCCAGGCTGATCATAATGAGCAGAGTCTACTGGGAGCTTGTGATAAAATGCATGAGACAGAAATAACCTATTGTTGTTTGAAGTCCCTGATATTGTCCTGAGTGGTGCTATAGGAGAAGATAGAGTGGCTACGAATATTTCCCAGGGAGCCTTGCTTTGCCTGTTAAAATGCCACATGGTATACCCAATAATCTTAACCTTCACAATCATCTCAACCTATCTCCCAATCACCATCCCTTTCCCAAAGAGGCAAGTTTGATTGAACATTAAATATTGCAGTAGTCCACATCTGAGGCTTTTCCTCCAGTCGAATCACTTTTTCCAAATTGGATTTATATGTTAAGGAAGCAAAGATCCTGCAGAAAACACACACACACACACACACACACACACACACCCTCAAAGTAATTTTATTCATTGCCCATTTAGCCAATATAGAAAAACATGGCTTGCTGTGACTAGTTGGATTACCATGGTCATTCAGGTAGAGTATTGTTTTCTTGAATTTCCATGTCTAATATCATTGAATGTATGGTTCCATTGTATTGCATACAACATAATTAACAAAAAGAAATGACAATTGTATAAAATGGAAAGAAACTAGAATCTAAATGAAATGACATTCCCTTCTGAAAGTTGTAGATAGAAAACTTCTCCAGCATCTGTTATGGAAATATGGAAACTGGTATTTTTAAATGCAGTGTGAAATGTAAAATAAGAGACAAAATGTGGTTAGTCCGTATTTGAGGAGCATTGCCTGTCAAAATAACACTTCTAGAAAGAAAATCATTTTGAAAGGGTACCCCTTAGAACACTGCTACTTTCAATCAATAGCATATTTAGTATCCATACAACCTTCAACACCGCAAACCTATAACCCTAAGAGCACTCGGTAGGAACAGAAGAAGGAATGTTCTGTTCAGTTTGAGATTGAGAGGGTCCATAGCAAACAGGTAACTTCCAGACTGTGGAAAAGTGAGTCAGGATAAGCAAAGTGAGGAGGCCATATTGACTTGTCCCCCTGTGCTGAGCCCCGCATGCCCCTTTCACACCAGACTCCTCATCTTTGCACCCTCTTGAGTCAACACCTAACTCTTTTGCAAGATAAGCAACCCTACAAGATACTAGCAGACCACCAGATGGTTACAAGTTCCTGATACCCCATATGTCCTGGCCTGGAAAAGGGAACAAAAACCCCTAACTCATGATGTAGCTTCCCCAGTCCCCAGCCAGTCAGCACCAAAGAAGCTACTAGCTACAAACTCTTGCCTTGGCAGGGAGGGCTAGGGACTTCTCTGGGGTCCGGCATGCACAGCTAGGCTCAAGGTTTAGCTTATTGTGACCTTTTTCTCATTTTAATAGTAAAAAAACACACCCCTAGGCGGAGACTGTATACGCTAATGATATATGCAATGCATGTTAGAGCATGTAGACACTGAGCACAAAAGCTCATTGCAGGTCCACATTGCATCCTTGACCTCAGCAGTATTTTATGAATATGTTTTTGCAGTTTCCATAAAGGGAATTCCCCTTAAAGCGCTAGGAGCTGCCTCTCCCTCTGAGCAACCCACTCTGCCTCTCAGAGTGGATGTTCACTTTGCAATAAAGTTCTTTGCCTACTCTTACTTTGGACTCACTCTCCTTTTTTTTTTTTTTTTTTTTTGAGACAAAGTCTCACTCTGTTGCCCAGGCTGGAGTGCAGTGGTACATTCTTGGCTCACTGCAACCTCTGTCTCCCGGGTTCAAGCGCTTCTCCTGCCTCAGCCTCCCAAGTAGCTGGGATTACAGGCACCCACCACCACGCCTGGCTAGTTTTTGTATTTTTAGTAGGCACAGGGTTTCACCATGCTGGCCAGGCTGGTCTTGAACTCCTGACCTCAAGTGACCCGCCTGCCTTGGCCTTCCAAAGTGCTGGGATTACAGGCGTGAGCCACCACGCCCAGCCTCCAATTCTTTTTTGTGGAAAAGTCAAGAATCTGAACCTGTTCACCAACACACAAGGAGCCAGGTTTCAGCAGGCAGGCTGGGATTGGAGAGCCCACCCTGAAACTCCCCAGGAAGAAAAAGAGGATGAGCCTCACTACTAACAGCTGCTGATGTGAACTTCAGAAGAAATCATCAAGCAGTGAGGAATGGGCTTAGCATGGAGTACCTATTCCCTGGGAGTAACTGCAGGACCATATTTTAAAAAATAACATCAGGGCACAATCTACTAACAGTCAATCAAGCAATGAAGACCACACT
The DNA here is from genome assembly GCF_000001405.40 of Homo sapiens. Taxonomy (NCBI): domain Eukaryota; kingdom Metazoa; phylum Chordata; class Mammalia; order Primates; family Hominidae; genus Homo; species Homo sapiens. Next base: position 10,733,123 of record NC_000010.11, read on the forward strand.
TTTCAGGGAGAAGGAGTGTGCCTGCAGCTAGCTTCGGCCCCCACATTCTACCTGTGTAGACAAGTAGAGTCTACACCCGGGCCATTGAAGCGCCCTCCTCTGCCCATCAGTTTCTCTAAGAGATGTGCTATTCTTGTTTGAATCACATGGCTCGGACCCATAATCACATTTTATGAAGATGTAGAAAATTACATTTTTTTCTTCAAACTTTCCCTCTTTCTATCTGCCAACAGCGATAAATGTTCCAACTGCAGTCATCAAAGAAACAAGCTTTAAGCATGTGGGAAATGGCAAGTGTGCCGGAGGAGGTAGTGAAAAAAAAAAGTGCAGAGGAAACAGACTCAGCTGAGACCTTAGGGCCATCCAGGGATGGGTTCAAGTTTCATGGGGCCTGTATTAGTGTGTTTTCACACTGCTGATAAAGACATACCCGAGACTGAGCAATTTACAAAAGAAAGAGGTTTAATGGACTCATAGTTCAGCATGGCTTGGGGGGGCCTCACAATCATGGTGGAAGGTGAAAATCCTGTCTTGCATGGTGGCAGACAAGAAAGAATGAGAACCAAGTGAAAGGAGTTTCCCCTTATAAAACCATCAGATCTTGTGAGACTTATTCACTACCATGAGAACAATATGAGGGAACCACCCCCACAATTCAATCGTCTCCCACTGGGTCCCTCCCACAACATGAGGGAATTATGGGAACTACAATTCAAGATGAGATTTGGGTGGGGACAGAGCCAAGGACAAACTGTGTCAGGGCCTAACACTTAAATTTAGCGACCCTCTTTAAGAATGTAATACAAATTTACAAAAATGAAATCAGGTTAAAAGTGAACACCTCTTTAAAATGAGAAATAACAGGAAATTAAACATTTTATAAAACCTCAATAATCCTTAAAATAGCATACGTATATCAATTACTAATTGTTCAACAAACCTCAATAAGACCCTTACTTCTACATGTTCATTTTTTTTTTAGCTGCATAGTCTTTGATCACCTTTTAATACAACAATCTTGTCTTCTTTTTTATGTGGAAAATGGAAAGGTAATTCGGCCTTCCAGAATGGTTGACCAGAAACTGACAGTTACAAATATTATTATTATGAGTTCTTCCAACTTCACAACTTGCTATTGGTAATAGCACATATATTGAGGATTGTTGTTAAATTTGGGAAAACCTTTGCAAGTTTCTTTCATTTATGGGCTGTAAGATTTGGAAGATTTTTCTCTAGTAGAACTCCTTGCTTCATATATTTCATATCCCGTTTTCTCTCCACTGTCCATACACATCTGGTGCTGGGTGCTGTTAGGATGTATGTGTGTCCTCATTTGACTCCTGCCCCCACATCCTCTTGTCACAGTGCTAGAGGGGTTGACCCTGTGGGCATAGGCACAAGCCTGGATGTCCTCTGTAACCCAGGACGGCTGGCAAATACTCAACTGTGCACAGAAGTAGCTGTGAAACAACTAATTGCAACTCAAGCTTCCCTAGGCTAGAACCCAAGAATGTGTGGGGTTATTCCAGTAACCCTAGAGGAGGTAAGAGAAAAGGGAAGGAAATAGGAGTGGAGAAAGGCAGCTGTCTTAATCTATTGTGGTCATAATACTTCACTTTAAATTTTTTTGTAAGCATATGGCCCTTTCTAATAGGCTGGTTAATTATCCCAGTTTGCCCAGGACAGTCCCAGCCTCAGCACTGAAAGTCCGGCATCCTGATAAACCTCTAAGTGTCCGGCAAACTGGGACGACTGGGCTCCCTGCCCTGTAAACAAATTTCAAGGGCATTTCCCAGGGCCTTAGAAGGGGACTGTGTGGATGAAGAGTCCTGAAGCTCAGACTACTCAAGGTTCTTGCCAAATCAAACTCTAGTTCCAAACCTTTTCCTGCCAGTTGTTAGGGTGGTATTTTGGGAAATTCATCTTCTGAGTTTCCTTCTCCTTTAACACATATAAAATAGGGTTACTTGAAAGGACGGTGTGGATTTATAACTATAAAATGTCTTGAACAAAATGAGAATGCACCCCATAGGAAATGTTATCATAGGCTATTAGTAACATCAGGATCCGAATGATTTCCTTGGGTACCTTGTTTCAATATTTTAATGTGAAGTTAGTGATAAAAATTTTTAAAAGCTAAATTCAGAATTTAACTTTACAGTCAACTTTTAAGAAGTTAAATTCTGCATTTCACTTTACAGTCAACTTTTAAAAATCTCATCCGTGCCATATTTCGTGGGCTATTTCAAGGCATCAGTATGTTGCGAAAAAAATTTCAGCATAAACACAGAAGCACAACAGCTAAATTAAGTTTTTATTAATTTTAGCACCTCAGAGAGAGTAGCAATGATATGCTTTATACCAAAAGCAACTTTGGAACTAAAACTCTTAGAATTATTTGTTTAAAACAGGACGTCGAGAAACAAAAGGAATAAATTTGGGGGAAAACTAGAGTTGAAGACAGATGAATATCTATTTCAATTTATACTGCCAATGAATTTCCTCAATAATTTGAATGCATCATCCCCATGACGTTAAAGAAGTAGCTTCTTATTTTTTGACTGAATTATATTCTGCTGTAAAAGAGACCCATTTGTCCTTGTTTGCATGGCTATGGTGATAATAAGTGGTCAGCATCTTCCTAGGATATTTAATGTATTTGTGAGCAATTATTCCCCCTCACCCTTCCTAGAGAAAGTTAAACAACATTCTGTGTTTTCAGCATTTATTAGAGCAGCAAGGGGTCATTCTGAATGTGAGCACCATGACAGATTACTAGCCACTGTATCTTCTGCACCTAAAATTCAGGAACACTCAATATACAGCCAGTGAACACATGCTCAATGAATCACCCTGCACTAACTCGATGTATGAATTTGGATAAGTCACCAAACCTCAATGGATTTAATTCTTCCCATCTTTAAAATAAGGAAATTGGACTAGATTTTATTGAGTACCCAGTCTAGTTCTGAAAATTCTCTCAAATTAGAATTTATTTTTCATTCTTTACCCTAGATTCTTTCTGGGCAGCCAAAACAAGATACAAACCCTGAAAAGAGCTTGGTCCGATATATTCTCATGTCTTTTGTTATTGTCTTACAATGGCTCATGAAAGTCTTCTTGCTTTTAAAACGAAGGTGCTACGAATGTGGTCCACTCTCTAGCTTAGGTGTTTTGGTTTTGGTTTGTTTTTGGCTTGTGGGGTTTGTTTGTTTTTCTGCTAAACTGATTTCTATTCTTTCTTTCTTTCTTTCTTTCTTTCTTTCTTTCTTTCTTTTTTTTTTTTTTGGACCATTTCCTATTGGTTTGTATACTTGATTACAGAGAGGTATCACATATGTCAAATAGGCAAAATAATGGATATTTACGATCAACATCTCCTAAAATACCCTGTATGTTGTTATGAACGAATAAGACAACTTAAGAGAAATACGTTGGGAATTTTTGTTTGTTTGTTTGTTTGTTCGTTGACTTGCTTGTTTGCTTGCTGGGTTGGTTGTTTTGATTCACAAAACAGTTCTTATATGGCAAGATGATTGAGTTAAGAGGAAAATAAAGAAAAAAAATGTCAGAGCTAATGTTTTTAGCTTTCCTAGTGGCTAAAGTGTGTTGATCATCAATTTTGCAGGACTCAGATACCAAGAGGTTTTACTAATAACACACAAAAATGAGAACACCAACACCAATCTGTTTAAGAAGGTTCATATAAATATCGATTGTTTGGATCGTGATGATTGGTACCCTGACATACGATTTCCTAATACTGTAGGGATTGAAAGAGTCAATATGCCTTCCAAATGGCGCAACTTAATCTCACAGAAAATTACTCAAGCAGGATGAGCTGGCCCTATCTGTGTCATTATAAATTATAAATAAGTAATTAAAGATTAATTCTAAATCTCAGCAGACCCTATGACGGATGAGCCATCTGGTAGTTTCTGAGATGTTTCAGGAACCTTGGTACTTATATGTCCTAATCAATGGCAAGAGGAAAAAAGTATAAGTCTTGGCAATTTCTACTTTAATGTGTTTGTTGGTCTCATCTAACTATCCGTCAAATGTTTGAAACGTTATCTTGTGGGTCTGTTTAATGGTTCGCATACTGTCCCTATAATTCTCTTTAATCCTTATTTTTGAAAAGCTATGAAGATTTAGGGGATTCTAGTACTTTATATTAGCCTTTTATCATCCCAAGTGTAATGAACATCTTTGCATGAGGAATTACTAAGTCATACCAAAAGATATATCTAGTATCTCACAGAGAATTATCTCTAAACAGCTCTTTCCTGGGCTACCTTATGTTCTCCTTATCTTGGGTAATACATTTTCTGCCAAGACTCAAAACTAGCAGAAAATTGTCTGGGAGTTATGACTTTCCTCTCCTGTTTGCTTTTCAATGCCCATACTATGGACAGCACGCAAGATGGAATACATTTGCGAAGTCATTTGGAAAGCCTCCAGCAAGGGGGGAAGCTTTTCCTATTTTCTTCCTTGTTCCATCCTCTGCCTGAATCCCCTTTGCTCTGAATAAATCATCTTGTCTCTTCCTCTTCTGTTTCCAGCCCCACCTTCTGGGTTTCCTCACTTGATGGCATGCTAGATTGGCATAAGAAACCTTGGCAGGTTCCCTGCCATACTGCCTTCTTATTTTGACAACCTCTGAGTCAAGGTCAAAAGAAACACCCAGCTATAATCTAAGGGATTATTTTAAGAAGTGAAGACACAGTGCAAATCCCAGAAAGTAGGTCAGATCTCTCCCCAGCTAATGGACTTCCAATGGCCTCCTGCAATACTGAGAAGAAAAGGCAAACTCTTTGCACACCTGGGTCTCTGCCTACCGCTGCAGCATCATCTGACATCAAGCTCAACAGCTCCAGCCACACACAGGGGATATAAAGAAATAGAAAGCTCTCACCCAGGTCTGCCACAGGTGGGACTGGGTTTGCATGGAGTTCCTGGGGGTCCATTTGACACTACAGGTCAAATTCCCTGCTTTATGTATATTTTGACCCAAAGGTTTCACTTTTGCTTTTTATCCTAAAGAAATAATCAGTGGTTTGTGAAGAGATAGATGAACTAGGTTAGGGTATGTGGCAACATCTTTTATAGTAATTACCAGTTTAAAACCCTTTAGATGTTTAACATAAAAGAAATTAGTTAAATATGCTGCCATACATTCATATTTCTGTAGCCATTAAAATAGTGTCTTTAAATGTAGGATGTACATAGTGGCTTCCTTCCAAAGAATATGGTATGAACAAAATGGCAAAAGAGTGACTTGACAGCGGAGAAGCCTGACAAACACTCCCTTGGCCAGGTGATCAACATCAGTATCAGCACTGATGAGTCATGCCAGGGCATGTACCCTTGGTATGACATGACGAGAATGCCTCTTTATCTTTGTGCTGTCCCTCCGCAAGCCTCACCACCCCAGTCTTTTCTTTCCAGCTTTATTGACCAATAAAAGTTGTATATATTTAAGACATACAACCCGAGGTTTTGAGCCATTATCCTAGTCTACCTTGAGAAAGACATCAGACAAATTCCAATAGAGGGCCATCCTACAAAATACCTGACTAGTTCTTCTTAAAATCTTCAAGGTCATCAAACATAGGCAAAGTCCAAGAAACTGTCAAAGTCTAGAGGAGTTTAGGGAGACTTGATGACTAAACGTGATATCTTGGATGGGATCATGGAAGGGAAAAAGAACATTCGGTAAAAACTAAGGAAATCTGAACAAACCGTGGACTTTAGTTAATAATAATGTATCAACTTTTATTCACTAATTGTAAAAAATATTCCATACTAATGTAAGATTGTAATAGTAGGAGAGACTGGGCATGGGGTATATGGGAATTCTGTGTACTGTGCTACCAACTTTTCTGTAAATCTACAACTCTTCTAAAAATTAAAGTCTATTTAAAAGCACAGAATCGAGGCTACAGGTGTATATGTATTTATACAAAATATGTTACCAACTTATTTTTAAGTGAAAAAAAATCACCAAATAGAATCTGACGATAACAAAAATGATATATGTTTATATGTATTCATATTATATATTAGTAGATGCATATATATGTCTATAGAAAACTCAGGACAGATGAATATTAACAAAACAGTGAGATTATAAGGTTTTTATGCTTATTTTATAATGTTTGACAATGATTATTTACATAATAAAATTTGTTTAATTGGTTTTGTTTGATGTTTCATTGAAATCTTCCAAATGTTTAAATATACAAGTGCTAATCAATGATCAGTTGGAGACAGGGAAATTGCAACAGACATTATTGCACCATATATACCATTTTTGGGCATTTTAATTTTGAAATAATTTTAGACTTACAGAAAAGTTGCAAAAAATGGTAGAGTTCCCATATTCCCATCATCCAGCTTCCCATAATGTTAGTATCTTACATAATCATAGTGAAAGGATCAAAGCTGGAAAATTAACGTTCATAAAATACTATCATTCAAACTACAGAACATATTCATATTTCACCAGTTTTTCCACTGTTGCCCTTTTCTCTTCCAGAAAGCAATCCAGGATCCCACAAAGCATTTAGCTCTTATGTCTCCTTAGTTTCCCCCAATTTTTGTAACAGTTCCTTAGCCTTTCCTTGTCTTTTAAGAATGTGACAGTTTCAATCACAGCCACCCTAACAGTTGTGAGGTGGTATCTCATTGTGGTTTTCAGTTGAATTTCCCTGATGATTAGCAATGTTGAGCACCTTTTCGAGACTGTTGGTCATTTTTACTCTTCTTTGGAAGTATGTCTATTTAGGTCCTTTGCCCCCTTTTTAATCAGGTTATTTGTTTTTGTTATTTTTATTTGTTGTTTGTTTATTTGCTATTTAGCTGTGTGAGTTCCTGACATATTTTGGATATTAAGCCCTTATTAGATACATGGTTTGCAAATATTTTCTCTCAATTCATAGACTGTCTTTTCATTGTGTTGATTGTTTCCTTTGCTATGCAGAAGTTTCTTTAGTTTAACGTTTGTTTATTTTTGCTTTTGTTGCCTGTGCTTTTTTTTTTTTTTTTTTTTGCCTGTCCAAAAAATCATTACCAAGGCCAATATCAAGGAGCTTTTCCCCTGTGTTTTCTTCTAGTAGTTCTACCATTTCAAGTCTCATCTTTAGGTCTTTAATTTATTTTCAAATGATTTTTGCATAAGGTATAAGATAAAGGTCCAGTTTCATTATTTTGCATGTGGCTATCCAGTTTTCCCAGCACCACTTATTGAACAGACTATCCCTCACTCAAAAAGAAAAGAGATAGCAAGTGTTGACCAGTGTGTAGATAAAAGGGAACTCTTATACACAGTTGGTAGGAGTGTAAATTGGTGTAGCCATTATGGAAAATGGTATGGAGGTTCCTCAAAAAATTGAAAACAGAACTGTCATGGTAATCCAGCAATACCACTTCCAGGTTTATCTCCCACTCCATGTACCCGCCCTCCCAAAAAAAAGATGTCAGCACCTTGCAGAGATATATGTACTCCTGTGTTAACAGTATTTACAATAGTCAAGATGTGGAAACAACCTAGAGGCCCATTGTTGAATAAATGGATAAAGAAATATATGTATGTATATATCATACACACTCAATGGAGTATTAATCAGCCTTTAAAAAGAGATACTGCCATTTGTGACAACATGGATGAAACTGGAAGACATTATGCTAAGTGAAATAAGCCACAGAAAGAAAAATACTGCATGATCTCACTTAGATATGCAGGATTTTTTTTTAAGTCGATTACATAGAAACAAGGAGTATAGCACTGATGACCAGGGCTGGAGAAGGTAGGTAATGAACAGACACTGGTCACAAGGTACAAATGTTTAGTAAGGCAGAATTCATAATTCTAGGGATCTAATACACAGCAGGAGGGCTATAGTTAACAATACTGTATTGCATACTAATAATTTGCTAAGAAACTAGATTTGTAGGTGCTCTTACCACTAAAAAAAAGTTAGCTATAAAAAGTAATGGATATGTTCATTTGTTTACCTGTAGGAACATTTCACTGTGTATATGTGTATCAGAACATCATGTTGTATACCTTAAATACACACAATAAAATCAACTTTGTAAAAAAAACAGGCCGGGTGCGGTGGCTCACACCTGTCATCCCAGCACTTTGGAAGGCCGAGGCAGGCAGATCACGATGTCAACAGATCGAGACCATCCTGGCCAACATGGTGAAAACCCATCTCTTCTAAAAATACAAAAATTAGCTGGGCGTGGTGGTGGGCACCTGTAGTCCCAGCTACTCAGGAGGCTGAGGAAGGAGAATTGCTTGAACTCGGGAGGGAGAGGTGCGCCACTGCACTCCAGCCTGGCGACAGAGAGAGACTCCGTCTCAAAAAAAAAAAAAAAAAAAAAAAAAGAACTTGACATTTTTGGAGAATACTCATCGGTTGTTTTGTAGTATCACCCTCATTTAGAGTTTGTCTGATGTGCTCTCCTGATTAGAAGACAGCTATGGGTTTTGGCAAGAATGGCATAGAAAGGATGCTGCCTTCTCAGTGCTTCAAATCAGTGTTCAACAGGCCAGTATGCCTTATTATTAGTGAGGTTAACTTTGGTCACTTGGTTAAGGCCTTGTCCACTCAGTATCTCCACTTAGAAAGTTACTATTTTTCTCTTGAAATTACTTGTCATAGGGAAGATAGTTTGAGACTATGCAAGTATCCCGATTCCTCCTCACAATTTTGCCCTCTAATTTTATAATCCATTTGGTGGTTCTTGTCTACAACAATTGTTACTGTGTTGTTTGTCTAATGGTGATTTCTCTATTTCATTCTTTCTGTAATTATTAATTGAAATTCTTAAGTAAGAGATGTTCCTTCTCCCTTTTTAGTGCATTTATAACAGTATGAACCCATGCTGTTCTATGTATTATCTAATACTACCATTATTTATTTTATTGCTGAAATTATTCCAGCCTTCCCCTGAACAATTTCCTCATTTAAGGTAATTGATAGGTTCTTGGAAACTGCAACTTGAAGTGAAATGTCAAGTCTTCAGATAACTTAGTTTCATTCAATGTCATTTCATTATACTGTTAATGAGAAAAAAATTTTGGTTTTGTTAACCATGTTTCACATAAAGTCATAGTTTCCAAGAACCTATTAACAAGGTTAAATGAGGACTTACTGTATAGTCAAATTTATCCATACACCCTTTTCTCCACCATCTCCTTACAATACTCTTTTGGGTGAGTGCTGTGGTTCATGCCTATTATCCCAGCATTTTGGGATGCTTAGGTGGACAGACTGCTTGAGCTCAGGGGTTCAAGAACAGCCTCAGCAACATGGCAAAACCCTGTCTTAACAAAAAATACAAAAGTTAGCCAGGCATGGTGGTGCACGCTGGTGGTCCCAGCTGCTCAGGAGGTTGAGGCAGGATGATCCAAGATAGCACCACAGTACTGCAGCAACAGAGCAAGACTTTGTTGCAAAAAAAAAAAAAAAAAAGAACATTTTTACTCAGGTGAAATTAACTTGGAATAAGTCAAATTAGAAGAAAAGTGATAAAAGTTTTCAACTTGAAATTGTTAGAGATAAGGCCAGTGCTTATTGTGGCTTACAGCATGGCTTGGTCTCTGCCTGGCTGGCTAGCCAGCCTCACCTTTTGACAATCAGGGCAATTTTCTCCAACCTAGTTAGGACCTTGTACCTCACTAGAAATGTGCATTAAGGGAGGATTTGTGATCTCTATTAACAAAAGAAGAGAGTGGCATCTTCATGAGAAGGAGAAATTCGTGTTATGTTCTTTGAACTGAGGTTGGATTCTCAACTTTATGGAGAAACATTTTGTAAGTTACATATAGGCATTTCTGTCTTTGCTTTCCTGGTATCTCATTGCTACATTCATTTATTCATTGACTTAACACTTTCTGAGCACCTACTATGTGCCTAAGGCTGTTCCCAGTTGAGGCTAAATGATGAAGAAAATGATATTAGATCCCACAGAGTTTACTTTGTTGTACCAGAGTTATTTCCCCACTGCAGACACTCCTCTGATCTCATAGTGTGTTCATTTTTATCCAAAAGAAAGTCCCTCTGATTTTGGAAATCATACATGGATGCTCACTATGATTTAGTATGTGAAATATAGCCAGTGGTCTCTATTGAAATGAGCGGTGGTCTTTAGAAGCGAAGCAAGTTTCTTTGGACTGAAAGACATCATAGCAGTTTTGACAAGAAGCAGAAATGACAAGTTACAGATACACACAATAATACAGTTTTCTGAAAAGTGTTTCATACTGTGCAGCTAGATCAAGTATTGCCCTTTGAGAAACTGAGAATAGCTCTAATCTCTAAATGGCTGCATTTAGAATTGAGCCATGATCACCCCTGATGAGAAGATACCATTGGCCCAAACTCATATTTGAGGATTCCCTCACTGATAGGCAACTTATGAGTGCAAGAACATTTTAATTGGAAAATACAATGTTCCATTTTGTCTATTTCCCACTCATTTATTTAGTGCACGGGCAGCATCTTGGTCTTAGTGATATTTTGTTTTTGTTGTTTATTTCACACTTGATGTCATAATCCTCTTTGTGACATCTTCATAGTGGTTGCTATGGAAATTATTAGAATATCACACAGCAAGGATGATTACCTTTAGAGGCCACCATACAGACCATATGAACTCTTAAAGACACTACTTTAGGCAATTGTTCCTAAACAAAATAGAAATCCAAAATCCAAAAATAGACTTCTAGAAACACATATCGATACAAATAAAATGATTCTTGTAGGCCACTGTAGTCCAGCAGCAGCCATGCTCATCTTTGATAACCCCTGGATATGGTATATAAATGTAAAATGTTCTTAGTAACTTCTTTTTCTTCTTTATGTTGTGTTCTACCCAGATTTTTTTAAATATTGAATTGTTTTTGAGCTAATTTTTTCCTCCAAAGACTCAGATAAGACTGTCTTACAAAGATCTAAAACAGTGAAATTAATCCAAAGTTGCTCAAAGAAGCTCTAAAATCTCAAGCCCATGTATACGAGTGCCAGTATTGCCAGCCCACCTATATGCTGGGAATAACATTAGAAGCCACACTCTCTTCTACACACAAATTTCTCCTCTCTGAGTTTAAAAAAATACCAGTATTATTTCGCATCCTAAATCATTCAAATGCATATAATTTCAGTGCCTGGAGATATCAGGTGTAATTATTCACATTTGCAAGAAGCAAGAAGAAATCTTTAGGTCATAAATTAACAGTAATGGTACATGTAATTTAGTACTTATTTGTATTTAGTACATTTCCAAAGTGTTTAAAGAGTGCTTTTATAAGCAATTTCCTATGACACCTAATTATTCCCAAGTAAGGATAAGTTGGATCCAGTGCTGGTTTCCGTGTCATACCAGCCATTTCTAGCCACTGTGGTTAGTACACAAACCTGATCCCATCCAGCCCAGTGTGTCCTGCCCTATACGGCAAATCCCAAAATTCAAAGCAATTAGAATAGGTTGCTTTTTGTCTTAAATATGCATTTATCTGTGACTATTATACTAGCAAAAATGATTCTGCTTTTTTTTTTTAGCAAGCATCCATGGAGTATGTACTATGAGATGAGCCCCTTCTAGTGTGACATTTAATTGGTCAATTGTTATTAATTTTGTTTTACCCTCAGACTCTGACTACAGGATAAAAATTTGTAAGTCATAAAGAGGCTCTCTAGGAGGAGGAGGGAGATTTTCCCACCCAAATCCCCTCTACACCAAAAATGGAAGCTAATTACCAACTCTCCATTTTACCAATCTTTCCTGTTGGATGCAGTTTGTATATGGAGTTCTCAAAACAGCACACATAGCCAGCCTTCCAGTATATAACCAGAGCTTTAAGGCTCAAGAAGCCTGACTCGAAGGCGTGAATATGAGTTTATTCCTGCCGGAAACGTTTCTTCCATGAAAGATAGGCAGAACGTGGCTGCCGTCAAATCCATCAAAACCATGCCACGTAAAAAAAAAAAAAACAAAACAAAAAAAAACTATGATAAAAACTGAAGAGACATTTGAAAAGAGGCCTGTTTCATGGACATGGCCTACTTGTGATTTTCTGTTTCTTCCATCATCACTCGGCAAGCAAGCAGAACTGGGGTCAGACCTCGTGCAAAATAACATTTATTGGTCACAGCTGCTGCTTCATCACCTTGATTTCTTACTAAATTATTTTCCTTTCATTACTCGTATCTCCTTTCATAGTTTTCAAGGCAATTTTCTAGTCCATGTGAATTTGTTCAATCTCTCCTCCTAGATTCATGTAAACATTTTCACATATTCATCCAAATTCTTCTCTTCTTCCGCACCCCCTGGTGAGCTCTCTTTGAAGTCGAGAGCTTGGCAGATCCTTCCCAACAGAGCAGCCTGTCTCCTCCTGGGGCTTCGAGTTGTGTGTTGTGTTTAACCTCCTCCTAACTGGCCTGCTTGCCAAGAGTTAGTATAATTTTAAACCAGTTCCATTTCCCTCCATTGAGTATAACCATCCCTACAAAGACCGCCTATCTTCGTTCTGCCTCCCTGGTGATGGATTTTTTCCTGCCAGTCTCTGCCTAATGGAGGGTGACCCCTCTAAAATGACCATGGAAGCAGCTGACCATCAAGCCTCCCTACCTTTAAACTTAATGTAGGTATCTCTGGGTAAGTCATATCACCGTTGGGAATTTCTCAGTACCTCTGTACTTGAGCAGGGATGATAATCGGGTCTTCCCATCTGCTTTATGCAATGTGCGGGCAAAACACGTTTGATGCTACCTGCATCATGTTGATATTATTTCCTGCCTGTCATTTGGTTTTGATGGCATAGGGATGGAAATGAACACTAACTGTCCTTATTTTGCATTTTTGCCTGGTTATTAGTATCTCAAACTGCTTAGCTTCTGCCTTTGTCATTTCTCATTTTAATTAGATGGCCAGTCCAGGGCATGAATTCTCCAGCCCCTTGAATCTTAACCATTCATCTAACACAGATCAGCTGCCTCACCTCCTTGCTTTTCACAGCTTTCTTTCACTGCTTTCTGCTTTTAAATCTTGTAGCAGGATTTGTTATTATGAAGATGGAATAGTCTGCATTCTTTGACGGCAACAAGTAAAATCTGCAAAACACCGGGATAACAGACAACATAGACAATATTGACACAGACATTAAAAGTCAGATATTTAATATTCAATTATGCATTCATTCACCAAAATTTGTTAGTCACCCCGTTTGCTTACAGAGAATGTAAGAATTTGATTAGTGCTGTCAGCCTCTTGGAGAGATGCTATGCCAAATAAGCTTAGACGAAAAACAGACCCAGATTTCAGATTGATTAGCCATTTTATATAGAGTTTGAATTCAAAAATTTTAGAAGCTTAAGGAAATCATTTTAACTTTAACTTCTGAAGGAGGCCAAGCCTGAAAATTGAGTTCTAATGCATGTTGTAAAAGAATTCTCATTATCCTTCTGACCTCCCTCTGCTTAAGACTGAACAGAAACCAACATTGTGAAGCAGTTTCTTGATTTGGTGGAAACCTGTTACTAGTCTCATAGACGTAAAATCGGAGATTTCGGTGGTATTGATTTTAGAGTTGCTATTCTTAGTAAGTATTAATATAATAAAATCATTATGCTTTTAAATTATTAAATGAGTGATTTAAATATCTTGAATGTACCAAAAATAGATAACTGTTTAGGTTGGTTTTGTACCAACCTAATACCACATCACTGCTAAATCATATGCCTTCGCAGTTTTCCAAAGCATCACCTTTGCTGCCTGGTGTCACCATGTGTTAGACAGAGAAGTATGGGAGATAGAAAGTGTTATCTTAATTTCTAACTGAGAACTGGATGGTATCTGAGAAAAGCACCTACCTAGGCTCTGGCTTCCTTGAAGTAAGTCCTTAGGAAATATTTGTTGAATTTGTTAAACAGTCATCAAGATTTTTTCAAGGATAGGATTCTCTTGCGGAGTTTAGAAAAATATTAAAATTGAGCCTGATGTTGTCTAGGTAAGAGGTCCATCCTTTAAAAGTCTGCAAGCTGGTGGAGCTGGAAATGGAGGCTGTTCTAAAGAAATCATCCCTACCCACACTGGGGTGATAGAATCTAAGGACTCTTTCAATAAATATTTCTCCAAGGTTTCTTTTGTGCCAAGAAGCCTTGTCCTAGACACTGTGTGTAAAACACACAAAAAATTGAACAGGTAGGATGGCCTTTGCTTTCTTGGAGTTTTCAGTCTAGTGAAAGAGACAAATAATAAGCCAGTAAAGAAACGCACTTGCAAATTGTGGCAAGTGCAACGAAGGAAAGGGGAAGGATACATTGCTAGATGGTGTCTGGAGGCTGACGGAAGGCGGCAGGCACCTGAACCTGGAGTGTAAGAAAGATTCCGTTTCAAAAGAGCAGCTGAGGGAAAGCGGGGATCATCAGGGATACAGAGCTAAAAAGGACAGCCTCAGAGGATGCTCTGAGGATGGAAAATACTGGCATAATCACAGGATGTAAAAAAGGGCCAATGGCAGGGGACAGCCAGGGAGCACCTCATAAGCCATGCTAAAGAGTCTGGGTATATAGATATATATATATATTTTGAGACGAAGTCTTGCTCTGTCGTCCAGGCTGGAGTGCAGTGGCACGATCTCGGCTCACTGCAAGCTCCGCTTCCAGGGTTCATGCCATTCTCCTGCCTCAGCCTCCCGAGTAGCTGGGACTACAGGCATGTGCCACCACGCCTGGCTAATTTATTTTTACTTCTCTTAGTAGAGATGGGGTTTCACCACTGTGGTGAAACAGCCACTGTGCCCAGCCGGGTTTACATTTTATTAGAAGGGCCAAATGCACAGAAAGACAAATACTGCATGTTCTCACCCATAGATAGGAGCTTAAAACGTTGCACTCATGGAGGAAGAGTGTAGAATGATACCAGAGGCTGGGAAGGCTGGCTGTATAGGGTGGGGGGAATAAACAGAGGCTGGTTAATGGGTGTGAACATACAGTGAAATAGAAGAAATAAGTTCCAATGTTCAATAGCAGAGTAGGGTGACTATAATTAACAACGTGTTGTATATTTCAAAATAGCTAAAAAAAAAGAGGACTTGAAATGTTCCCAACACATAGAAATGATAAATAGTTGAGGTGATGGATACCTTAATACCCTGACTGGATCGTTGCACGGTCTATGCGTGGAACAAAATATGATGTGGACCCCGAAAATATGCACAAATATTATTTGTCTCTAAATAAAATTAAATTTAAAAGTGCTAAGTGCAAATTATGTTGCTTTCAGGAGAGGAGAGGCAGGATCCCAAGTATATATTCAAGAATTCTCTCTGGGGTCTGGCGCGGTGGCTCACGCCTGTAATCCCAGCACTTTGGGAGGCTAAGGTGGGCGGATCACGAGGTCAGGAGATCGAGACCATCCTGGCTAGCACAGTGAAACCCTGTCTCTACTAAAAATACAAAAAAGTAGCCGGCCATGGTCATGGGCACCTGTAGTCCCAGCTGCTCAGGAGGCTGAGACAGGAGAATAGCATGAACCCAGAAGGCAGAACTGGCAGTGAGCCGAGGTTGTGCCACTACACTCCATCCTGGGTGACAGAGCGAGACTCTGTCTCAAAAAAAAAAAAAAAAAAAAAAAAAAGAATTCTCTCTGAAAGAGGTCAATGGCAGGACAGAGGAGTCCAGGGAAAAGGACTGACAATGAGCTGGTGGTGACTTGGATCAGGTGGTGGTTGTGGAGATAAACAGATGTGGGTGAATTGGAAGCAGAGTCTGTAAAGGAAGCAATAGGGTTTGCTGTGTTTGGTGAGTGAGATGAGAATGTCAAAGATGATTCAGCCTTCCAGTTTGCCAAACCAGTATGAATTGTTCAGTTTACTGAGATCGGGAGAAGGGAGAGAGCCAGGTAGTATTTTTGCTTTACGGGAGATTCGTAGCAGGAATTAAGAGTTCACTGTATGAATGTGTTGAGTTTGAAATGCTTGCAAGAAAACAGAGTGAAATGTCAACTAGATAATTGTATTATTCGTCTAGAAATGCTTATTTAATGTCTACTATGTGTCACATATTGTTGTACTGTTATAGAATACTCATGATTCTAGATCTACAGGATATTTGGGCTGGATATAAAATCAACTTAGAGCTTCTGTGAGCGTGGGCTTCATTACAGAAGGCATATCACCTTCTACTCCCTCTATAATAAATAGGCTACAGCATGGGGAACAAGCTGAGGGTACTAAGTGGCCTAGAAATCTAAATTACAGTTTTATGTGCTATCCATCAAAATTGTGGATTAAATGGCACCTGAGTGACAGAAATCAGCCAACAATGTCTACTAAGCATCAATGTGCAAACGATATTATTATTTATTTAGAATATCAAAATACTGATACAATCTGAATGTCTCATAAAGGAGGAAGGGTGAATAGTATAGAGTCATAGAATGGGATGTTAAGCACCATTGCAAATTATATTTTTTAAATATTTAATGGCATAAGATACTATTTTAAATGTATACATGAAAAGAAGGCTGCTCGGATGCATTTGTAGTATGATCCCAGCTTTATTTAAAGATTGCAAGTAATGTCTATAAAGACGAAAAGACTGGAAGCAAATTAGTAAAAATGTTCATGATTGTTATCAATAAATGATATGATTTAAGGTAATTTTCATATTTTCTCTTTGCTTTTAAGCATTTTCAGAATGTTTTATAATGAGCCAATCTGACTGTTCTAAATTGAAGCTAGTGGTAATTAGTAAAGAGAAAAGGGCATCTTGGTAAGAACCTTGGGGAAATAAGAGGAACAAGTAGATAGGACACCTACCCTCAATTCAAATGTATAGAATGATCTATCAAAAGCAATGCCATAGGCCGGGCGAGGCGGCTCACACCTGTAATCTCAGCACTTTGGGAGGCCAAGGCGGGTGGATCATGAGGTCAAGAGATTGAGACCATCCTGGCCAACATGGTGAAACCTCATCTCTACTAAAAATACAAAAATTAGCCGAGGGTGATGGCACGTGCCTATAATCCCAGCTACGCAGGAGGCTGAGGCAGGAGAATTGCTTGAACCTGGGAGGTAGAAGTTGGAGTGAGCCGAGATTGCACCACTGCACTCCAGCCTGGCGACGGAGTGAAACTCCATCTCAAAGAAAAAAAAAAAAAAAGAAAAGCAATGCCACTAATTCTCCATCACTGAAAGGATCAGTCCTACTATTTTTTATAGTTAGTGTAGTATTTGGTTAGAGCTCTTGGGGAAAATGCAAAAAATCAGAGAAAGATTCTGAACCAGGGAAGGCAGATGAAAGAAGTGAAATTGTTATGGTTAACTAATACTTACTGTGCATTGACATGGGTCAGGCACTCTTTTAAGTATTTTAACATTTAAGAAAGACAACTGAAGAAGGTGAAATTCACATTGGATTAATTTGGATTAAATACTGTCCATTTCCCTGTCAGATGCTCTGATGTAAAACAAGGAATTGAAAAAATTTAACAAATAAATTTATTCACGCAAATACACATGTGTGTATACGTGTGTTCCATCTTAAAGTTAATTAGGCAAGAGAAAGTTAAAGTTTAATTAAAACTTTTGTCACAAATTCTAGCCCTGGTGATAAGGTGGAAGAATAGAATGATTGTCACCTGTCTGTTGATTTCTCATTAATTAAATCCCAGCTGGCAAAGGCGTCCTTGAAACTCAAGTGGTGAGACCCTGCTGAAATTTGGTTGCCATGGGTGCAGATTGAGGTCCCTGGAGTCACTAAATCCGTTCCATTCTTATTCCAACTTAGACACTAGCATCTATGAAATCCAAATCCCTTTGTTAAAGATGATACAAAGACCTACAGAAATAACAAACATTCCTTCTCAAAATAATTGTTTGAGGATTTCGAACCCGTTTCAGCGATGTCTAGAAATCCCTGAATATTCCTTGCACTCTTTTTAGAATCCAGCAGGCTTAAGAAGATCTCACTGTGCTAACAATAGCTCCTTTTCTGAGAAATATTGGAGTGCTGAGCCTGTGGGAGCAAAACCTTTCTGGGATCTTGGTTTGGGAGTGCATTTATAAATCAGATTTTCTGGTGCCTCTTTGTCCTTTTGTGAAAAATAAGTATCTCTGCCCTACAAGCATTTATGCCAAATGGAGAGAGAACTCACTGCGTTCCATGAGGAAGTTTGCTTTCCAAACAGCTGACTTCAGTCTGGAGGTAGAGACACAAATGTCCTGGAAAGTAAAAGAATGTAGTTCCAATTCAGCTATAATTCCAAGTCTGACAAAGAAGCAAGTTCGTATCTGAAGGGCACAGAATGATAACTCCTTAAGGGGCAAAATAGACCACCATAGATAGTTGTTATACATGCCAGCCATGTTGTAATTCCACCCAGATGGTGTTTTTTGCCTTTTTTTCTCTGATAGTCCCTTTAAGTAGAACTTCATGCTGATGAGGCAGGGCACTGCATTCAGTCTCAATATTGACCAGTGATGTTACCTTCCTTCTATGGCTGTAAATTCCATGACTAAGCTTTTGTTCATTGCTAACCCCTGGTCACAAAAGATTAAGTTGATAGTAGAGGTGGATCAGCACAAATCTCGTACTGCTTTGGGAAAAAAAATAAGATTAATATTATGATTTAATGAGTAGTTAAATTGGGTGTGTTTGTGAAATACATCGTATTTCCAATTTGCGAATGGAAATTTTTTTAATTGAGAAATTAAACAATCAAGTGTGGTTTCTGGTACTAATAGATTCTCAAGTTGCATAGCTCTCGTGACCTGGCTCTTTGATTAAAGTTTAAAATACATCCACAGATAAAATAGACCCATGAAATCAAATATTCTTGCTGAGAAAAGATGTGTTAGTAACAACAAATTATGACCTGCTTCGGTCACTGAATTGATGAAGGGGAAGTTTTACCTAATCTACTGGTGTTCTCACTGAAAACATGCAAGAGGTCACAGACGAAGGTTGCTTCTCAGAATTCACAGCAGGGCATGGACCATATCCAGATGTTGGTTCCATTTGGCTTGTACTCCTCCCAGGAGAGAGTCAGGCCTGGGATCTGGTCCGTGGACACTACCTGGAGGGTTTCTGTCATTGTCACTATTAACCATGGCTAAAGTACCCATCACAGTGCAGAACCCTCCTTATGTCTAAGATGCCAGTAGTAGCAAGTGGATAGCTGCAGCTTTTAAATAAAGCTGGCTCTAGAAATATGACAGAGCACTGTGACTTAGCAGGACATGACGTTTTGTTATATTTCAAGATACTCCAGGCCGGGCACAGTGGCTCACGCCTGTAATCCCAGCACTTTGGGAGGCCAACGTGGGCAGATCATGAGGTCAGGAGATTGAGACCATCCTGACCAACATGGTGAAACCCCTTCTCTACTAAAATACAAAAAAATTAGCTGAGCGTGGTGGTGCATGCCTGTAATCCCAGCTACTCAGGAGGCTGAGGCAGGGGAATCGCTTGAACCCGGGAGGTGGAGGTTGCAGTGAGCCGAGATTGCACCACTGCACTCCAGCCTGATGACAGAGCAAGACTCCGTCTCAAAAAAAAAAAAAAAAAAAGAAAGAAAAAGAAAAAAAAAGATATTCCAGAGATCTAAAAGAATTTAGGCAAAATAATTTACTGGTATTACTCATGGGAGCAAAATACCGGTAGTAAAAAAAAAAAAAAAAAAAAAAATTCTACCATGATAGGCATTAAAAGTGGGATTCTGAGTCTCAGAATTATTCTGTTGCTAATCCCTGGTTCAGGAGAATCCTAGTTCAAATATTCACAAACCAATATTGCACACGTTTACATATATTACCATTGTTCCCAAACATCACATAACGTACTTAAAGACAGTGTTTTCCAACTAATGTGAGCCCTTGGTGAATTGTAAAATCTACGTTGTGGGTTGCAACTACCCTTTTTAATTTTTAAATGAAAGACATAGAATAAATAATTCTCTGAGTGCATTAAATATTAAAAAGGTAAGCATTGCTTGGTGAAATGTTTGTTTTAGTTTGTGTGTATTTGGTGGGGATGGATCTTAAGTCACACCGTGAAACACAATTTAAGGCCATTATCATAGAAAGTTTATGTCTCTTTAATTATCAAGGGTCACATTTTAAAAACTTTTTCTCTAAAAATGAATTCCAATTTCCAAAGCTCTGTGTGTGTGTGTGTGTGTGTGTGTGTGTGTTAAGATCAAGAGTGCATATGGGATTTTGCTTCTCTATTTGTGCGTGTGTGTAACTCTGCAACAGAGTGATTCACAAAAAAATATATACTTTAGCTCAAAGTTGCAAGCATTCCACCATTACTTCCAATCCACTTAAAAGGAGAATATCCTCTTTTCTTGCTCCCTGGTATCATTGCGGATACGAATGGTGTCATGAAAAGTGAGCCCACTCCCAGACCAGAAATGTATCCAAGGACCGGGAAACACACTACCATGTTAATCAATTATATAGCTTTCTTCTTGGACAACTTAAGTAGCATTTCTCTTTCTTATATTAAAAAATCACAAGTCTTTTGAGAGAACTTATAAGATGAACAGTTGACTTTTGAAACAGTAAAATTCTTCCTAATTTTCCTACCTTAGGGACTTGGTCACATGCACCTGACTTCACCAATTAAAACTAAAGTTTATGCATTGAACTATAGAAAAAACATGGCCCCTTCTTGAGGTTATACAGATAATTCCAGAGCAAAACCCATGACATCTAGGAAACAGGCCGCATTGCTTAATGTGGATGCTTAATTTGTATTTTCAATGTGTATTTATAGGTGAGGGTTTATTATGAACAGGATGTTCAACAGATCAAATGCATTGATGCAATTAGGTTCCTGCTTGTTGAGACATGTTTCATAGCTCTTATTAAAAGTAAACATAAATAAAGGTTGTTTGGAGATTTGTACATGCTGAGGTGGTTTTTTTTTTTTTTTTTTTTTTTTAGTATTTGACTAGAAAAGCATTTGAAATTAACTACTTAAGCAATGAAGCAGAGCACACTTTTTTCTTTTTTTTTTTTGAGACAGAGTCTTACTCTGTCACCCAGGCTGGAATGCAGTGGCACAATCACAGCTCACTGCAGCCTCCAATTCTTAGGCTTAAGTGATCCTCCCACCTCTGCCTCCCAAGTAGCTGGTACTGTAAGTACGTGCCTCGATGCCTGGCCAATATTTTTTTATTTTATTTTTTGTAGAAATGGGGTTTTGCCAGGTTTCCCAGGCTGGTCTCAAACTTCCGGACTTGAGCAGTCCTCTCGCTTCAGCCTCCCAAAGTGCTGGGATTCCAAGGATAAGCCAACACGCTAACCAAACAGAAGCACTCTTAATCGTGTTCTTTAAGAAACTAGAAGAGACACTAGACAGCTTCAAATGATGACTACAAGGAAGCATGATCAGGAAGAAGTGGTTTCTAAGTGAACTCTGCTGTCTTAGAATTTCATGATTTAAGGGTGTTTAGCCCCAGGTCTATTTTTGTTGTTCACAGTTTAAGTCTAGATTATTTAGGTATCTTTAATTAGGTTTCAGCCATTTTGCCAAATTTAAAACACCAGTAATGTGGTGCCAAAAATACTGATAACTTGACTCCTTGCTCTTTAGCCTCAGCTCTTTTTATAGATTTGAATTCTACGTGTTCTCTGAAGCCCAGAACAAGTCTCCATGCTCCAAGGCCTCTCCTAATTACCCAAGCCTTAAGTAATAACTCCTTCTTATGATAACACCTGCATGAATTCCTCAGCAGCAAGCCATCGGCGTCAGTCAACGGACAATGAGAATATGCTTTGTGAATTATTATTGCTTTTTAAAACTTAGATGTTCTGTTTCCCTCAATAAGTAGATCATTTGCTTCCTGTGGGCAGAAACAATCTTCACTGGCTTCCAAGATGATACAAATTGATAACTTTAAATATACACCAAGGTTATGTTTACAAAAGACAAATGCCAGGATGAAACTTGAAAGGGAGAAAAAAATAAGAGGTGGCAAAATGCAGGTTTGTAATCTCAAAATGTCATAAAAAATCTCTATCTTAGTAGATACAAAGAATTCCTAGGTAATTAACAGATAATTGACATAACCTCTTATTGTTTTACACCAGATACTTGGGATGACAGAGTGAGAACATGAGTTTCTTCCTCTCTCATATTCATATTTATCTTCTATTGGCTCTTCTTCACAGTGCATTACAATTCTAATCATATTGTTCTGGACAGCTTTGGTAGCAAGTAACAGAAAACCCAGCTCAAACTGGCTTCAACAATACCGGCATTTACTTGCCAAACACGGGGGAAATTCAGGGCTGGGATAGGCTTCAGTGTTGCCTTCATCTACTGGCTCTGCTACATTTTCGCGCGCAGTCTCTATGGCTCTGCTCTCCTGCGTCTGCTGCTTCCTCCTCAGATTGGTCTTGACACAGCACCAGTCGCTCTACGACAGGTGCACAGGACAAATGGTCCAAAGGGAAAAGAGAAAGAGACATCTTTGTAACCCTTCTCAGAAGAGTGAGGAACATCTTTCCTAAAAAGACCCTCATGTGATGGCCACGCCCCCTCTTACGATGTTATATCACGTGATCCTTCCTATGCTGGATCTTAGTACAGTCACTCTTCAACCACGGGTAGGATCAGATTCACAAGACACCTGAGCTGAGTGGAAAATCAGCCAGTACATTAATACAACTGGTGTTTTCTTGGGAAGAAGAAATGAGAGAATGGATGCCAGACGCACAACCAAAAACAACCCAAATTCCAACTTGCCAAAAATTCTTTTTTACCCGAATAGAGTCAAAGCAAACCATCCTAATGACCATCCCTCTGTTGTTCAGTATTAACTCATGTTGGTTTTATTAAATATAAAATGCTGCCTGGTCAAGGAATCTATGTTTTTCACAATAATTTCATAGACATAGTATTAGGGGAAAATGTAAATAATTATTTATTTTGAAAGAAACCATTTCATGTAACACCAAGATTCACTTTCTTCTGTATTCTGCATACCTGAAATAGTACAGGAAACATGGTGGCCCGCCAAAAATAATGATACTATTTCTTTCCATTTCTATATATTTTCCTTTGGCAGATGACTATTACACTTTTCAGGTCATTTAATATTCTCATACAGCAGACCTTTCAAAAGTTCTGTCTGTATTTAAATGTGTTTAAGAAAATTTATCTTGCTGATTATTAAAAGTAATGGTAAAAACCACAGTTACTTTTGCATCAACCTAATAAATATTTGGATAGTCATTCTGTTTGAGATAGAGTTGGGATTTTTACCTGAAAATAAAACACTCTCATGGTTTTCAACTGGCATTTTTATTTTCACTTTTTCTAAAATAAAACTGCATTAAATGTTAATTTATAAAATCTATGCCATATCATATATTTTATTTCATATTTGTTGAGTAATTTTTCACTGAACATCAGGGATCCCTTAGATTCCCATTGACTAGGTCTCTGATATGTTGCCTTTAATGATGCAGTTATATTTAAATTAACTCTTGATAATAATGATATTTTTATTGATTCCTTTATTTTTCTTTTCTTGAACTACCACTCTATTCACATCTATTCACTCTATTCCATTCATTTGTGATCAGTAATTTTCTAGGAATGATTGTCTTAGTGCAAATATAAAGACTAAAAATCAGATTGACTTAAAGAAGCAGTAATTTTTGCTATTTGCTGGACAAAATGGCAATATCCATTAAAAAATAACTACGGGGACTGGGCGCAGTGGCTCACACCTGTAATCTCAGCACTTTGGGAGGCCAAGGCAGGCAGATCATGAGGTCAGGAGTTCAAGAACAGCCTGGCCAATATGGTGAAACCCTGTCTCTACTAAAAATACAAAAATTAGCCAGGCGTGGTGGCACGTGCCTGTAGTCCCAGCTACTCGGGAGGCTGAGGCAGGAGAATTGCTTGAACCCTGGAGGTGGAGGTTGCAGTGAGCCAAGATCACACCACTGCATTCCAGCCTGGGCAACAGAGGGGGACTCTGTCTCAAAAACAAAACACACAAACAAACAAAAAACTATGGGCCAAATGCAATGGCTCACACCTGTAATCTCAGTACTTTGGGAGGTCGAGGTAGGAACATCACTTGTGGCCAGGATTCCAAGACCAGCCAGGACAACAAAGCAAGAACCCTTCTCTACAAAAAAATAAAATAATTAGATGGGCGTTTTGGTGTTCACCTGTAGTCCCAGCTACTCGGGAGGCTGAGATAGGAGGATCACTTGAGCCCAGGAGTTAGAGGCTGCAGTGGGAATTATCATACCATTGCACTGTCTCTGTCTCTTAAAACAGTACAATAAAATAAAAAATAAAATAGAATAAAATAGACTAACTCTGTGAATTCTTGGAATTCAACAATGACAATGACACACATGCACACACATGTATGTATGTATGTATACAATCTAAAAGGCAAATCACTAAAAGAGAAACTATTAAGAAACATATGAAAAGATACCAGCCTAAATATAAAAAGAGATACAAATGAAATCAACTACAGACTTTTTCCCAAAAATATAAGAATAAGCTACTTGTCTTTAAATATATAGTTTGAAGAAGTTGGATCTACACCTGTGGCTTAGTAAAGCATTATGGCAAAAACTTCCCTTTCTTTAGCAATGTGGAGAGAGGGAGGAAAAAAGAAGACACAGTTTCTGCCCTTGTTATCCTGCTGCTGAATTTGTTACAAGATGGTTAAATTTTATATAGTTTAAAACTTGTAAAGAATCTTTCAATAATGAAGAAGCAAAGTTTGTAAACTAGGCCCCTATGGAACCACACTGTTTGAGCCCCGGGACCTTCTCTCTGTTTGTGGTTGGGTTCAGGGGCCTGCACTCTGTCTACAGGTATCACAAATAAAATGTTGTTAGCAGCTGAATGATATTGACAGACCTATCAGCAATCTGCAGATTTTCATTTTGAACTGTGGCATCCTGAAATAAGTTGAAGCAGAAATAATATCTCTGTGTTGAGAGATTTCAAATTCTTTTTATTGATAGGTAAACTACAGCTCTAGATATAACTAAGTGAAGCACGGCTGGAGAGGGAAGAAATAACACCTGGACTGCTGACTGCCGTCGTGGAAGGGCAAAACAAGAGGACACAAATGCATCCAGCTATTCTCTGTGCTGCTTGGTGTAATAGATTAAACTTCAATGCACCTTGGGCTCTTTTCATGGGCTTTGCCTGTCACCTTTACACCCTTCAGAGTTCTATAAGGAATTATCAGCACTACGACTCTTTGGCAGTCTTAGTGGGAAACCCTGGGAGGTCAGGAATATGGGCCTGTGAAATGACATCTTCCTGCCTCGTCCAAAGATAGCATTCATCATCATTTAGGCAGATGTATGATGCTGCTAGGCAAAACGCCAGCCATGGATCACATTGGTGTCCCATTACAGAGCCTACGCTGTCCCAGTGTCTACACAGAGTGGGAATCTCAAGGCTGGATACTGAGAGCCTTCCTGGAACTTCAGGGAAAATAAATGTACTAAATCAGTTGGTTAATTATCTGTGTCATTGACCTTGGTGCCTTAATGGAAAAATATGGTTCAGATATTACATGGCTATAAACAAAAAATTATAAGTAGCATCCAGTGTGTAATTGACAGATTTGAGTGCATTTAATAGTGTGCAATGAAATAAGTCATCCAGGCCAAAACAAATGCCTTTCTTTTTTCTTGATTCCATACATTTCTTGTTTGCCTGACATATGCCTCACTGTGTTTCTTTAAGATCAATACAATGTGTCTTCTAACTTCATTTGTCTTTTGATTAAAACTGCCTGTTGAACAAAGCTGCTAGGAGAGCTTCCCTATCTCCTAATTGTCAGAGAGTCCTCTCAATTTTTTTAACCTTGCCAAAAGCTGACATTCAGCTTCATTGGCACAGATCCTTGCTTCACAGAGATATGAGCTATCGAATCAATGATTGCTTTGTAACACGGTTTGCCATCCATTCCGTGGACCTAAGCATAGCATGCAAATGCATCATTGAACAAATCCCAAAGGCATAAGACTGTATGAAAGGAAGGTAAAATAGGAAAACATAGATGGAGATGCCAGGCCTAACTCATCCACCCTACATAAAGCAGGCATCTCTGAGTATTGGCTGGATTCACTAGAAACTCAGTGCCCATTTTTCTTTTTTTTTTTTTTTTTTTTTTTTTTTTTTGAGATGAAGTCTCACTCTTGTCTCCCAGGCTGGAGCACAGTGGCGTGATCTTGGCTCACTGCAACCTCTGCCTCTGGGGTTCAAGCGATTCTCCTACCTCAGGCTCCCAAGTACCTGGGATTACAGGTGCCAAGCATGGTGGCAGGTATATTTTTGTATTTTTAGTAGAGACAGGGTTTCACCATGTTGGCCAGGCTGGTCTCGAACTCCTGACCTCAGGTGATCACCCGCCTCGGCCTCGCAAAGTGCTGGGACTACAGGTGTGAACTACCACGTCTGACCTAGTGTCCATTTCTCTAATCAGCCAACCATGGCTCACCTTGGGCCCAATGCTTGAGGCTTCATGGCCCTAACAACACATAGGAGAATCACCATTGTCATGGTGATTCTTCTAGCAGTTTTATAAGTCTGAATTCTCATCTTCCTCTCCCTGCCAGAAGATAAGGGAACCAGACTCCAAGTATTTCCTGAATATGTAGGCTTGTTGCAAAATCATACAGAGAAGACAAATTATATTCTTGAAAAGACGGTGATATTCCTATATAGAAATAGTAGTTAAAATAGCCAGGTTCTTAAAATCTTTTTTTTTGTTTTTTGAGATGGAGTTTCGCTCTTGTTACACAGGCTGGAGTGCAGTGATGCGATCTTGGCTCACTTCAACCTCCGCCTTCCAGTTCAAGTGATTCTCCTGCCTCACCCTCCTGCGTAGCTGGGATTACAGGCATGTGCCATCACGCCTGGCTAATTTTCTGTTTTTAGTAGAGACAGGGTTTCATCATGTTGGCCAGGCTGGTCTCAAACTCCTGACCTCAGGTGATCCACCCACCTCAGGCTCCCAAAGTGCTGGGATTATAGACGTGAGCCACTGTGGCCAGCTAAAATCATTTTTACCACTGTTGTCTTGACTCTTACCTTTCCTGCCCTGGTACATCTAGACCTCTCTGTCCTACCCCAGTCCCCCTCTTTATCCTGAGAACGCCTGACTCTAGGAGTGTTCTGCTGTTGGCTCTTGAATGCTCCATGTGACCCAGACTGGCACCTGGAAGGAAAAGAGACTGTGCTACTGTGACTTGGTTGTAGCAAGAGCCAGCCATCTCAGCAGTTCTTTGATTGCATTCATTCATTTATTCCCTAAATTATTATTCGTGTATTTCCTTAACTCAGAAGATGCAAGCAAGTCACGTCGATACAGTTTACCATCTTGTGTGGGAGATGGGCATTAAATAGAATTACAGAAGCAGTGAATGGGGGATGTGTATGATGAAAGCTGCGATGGAGGGGAGGAAGGAGATCAGCCTGCAATGAGGATACATGCTCCTAAGCAGGGAACTCGGGAAGATTTCCTAGTGAAATGACATGTCCGCTGAAGCCTAGAGGCTGAGTAGAACACGTCCAAGCAAACGAGGAAAAAGGCCAACAGTGTTTCTCGCAGAAAGAACAGGATTTGTAAAAGTGCTGTGGAAAGAAAGAGCTCTATGAGTGGGAGGAACTGAGAAAAAACTCCTGGCAGGGCTCAGGGAAGGAGAGAGATGGAAAAGGATAATGATGCCAGCAAAGGTCGCATCACGCAAGGCTTTGTAGGGCTCATTAAGGAGTTTGGACTTTATCTTAAGAGCAATGGGAAGTCACAGAAGAATTTTAAGCTGGGTGGTGACATGGTCTAAGTGTATCTTAAAAGATCACTCAGTGTTTTATGGAGCATAGATATGGTATTGTCCCATAGACTTCTATGTTCCATAGAAGATCTTTTTGGTCATTGTGGTCAACAATTCCAAAAAAAAATCTTGATGACTTGAATTAAGTAACAGCAGAAATTAAAAGAAGTTGAGAGCTTCAGCAAATACCTCAAAATGGGTGTTGGCTGGAATTGATTATTTGAGGGGAGGTAGGAGGAGGAGTATAAAAGACATCTCTCAGGTTCTCACATAAGAAGTTGAATGAGTTGTGTCATTTTACAGTTTTCAGGAATACCTGAGGAAGAAATAAATTTGAAGAAAAAGATTATACAATGAGTTTTTGACAGGTTAAATTTGAGGGACCTGTGAGAAATCAAAGTAGACATGGTTGAGTAGGTTGGTAGAGGTGTAAGTCCATGAAAAATGTATGTTGATTAATTTTATGTGTCAACTTCACTGGGCCACAGGGTACCCAGATATTTGGTCAAATATTATTCTGGGTGTTCCTGTGAGGGTGTTTTGGGATGAGATTAATGTTTGAATCAGTAGACTGAATAAAGCAGTTGCTCTCTCAAATGTGGGTGGGCCTCATCCAATCTGTTGAAGGCCTGAATACAACACAAAAGCCAACCTCCCACATCGCAAGAGAGAACCTCCTGCCTGACCAATTGGGCTGGGACATTGGTCTTTTCCTAGCTTCAGATGCAAACTGAAACGTTAGCTCTGGGTCTTGAGCCTGCTGGCTTCCAGACTGGAACACATACCATCAGCTCTACTGGTTTTCAAGCCTTCAGACTTGGACTGGAGCTAAACCATGGGCTCCTGGGTCTCCAGCTTGCCACCTACAGATCTGGGGACTTCTCAGCCTCTCTAATTACATGAGACAATTCCTTATAATAAACCGTGTGTGTGTGTGTGTGTGTGTGTGTGTGTGTGTGTGTGTGTGTGTGTGTAGACAGATATGTAGATGATCTCCTATTGGTTCTGTTTCTCTGGAGAGCCCTGACGTAGACTAAAAGTATTTAATGATAACATGAATTTGAAAACCCTGAGCATATACATGGCAAATGAATTCATTAGAACTGATGAGATGTTCTAAAATTGGGAGAGAGACAGAGAAGAGGTCCTAAAACTGAGCCCTTATGCTTTCCAACATCAGAGATTTAGGAGAGAAGGATGACCCAACAAACAAGGCAGACAAGAAATGACCAGAGAGGTAGGAGGCAACCCAGGAGACTTTGGCAGGAGAAGAGTTCTACAGGAAGAATGGATGTCCACTCTGGGAAATGTAAGGAGAGGCAGGGCAGTATTCAGGGGCCTGAGTAATAGGAAAGTCAGTGCTGTAACAGCATTTAATTATGGATTGTGCTAGCAGAAGCTAAATGGAAGTCATTTGAGGCATGACTTGGAGGTGAAGAAGTAGAGATATAGGTAGGAAAATCATCTGAGAATTTCGTGCAAGAGGGAAAAGAAAGAGTAGATTAATAGAGACACCCAGGGTCCTGGAAGGGGAGTCACCTATTCCAGATGTCTACACGTAGATCGAATTCAAACTAACGCTCGGGAACTGAGACAACATTCCGGAATCCACTAGGCAAGCATAACCCCCACCATTTGGGGGTAGTTCTCCGGTCTCAGGCTTCTGGGATTCACACCCAATATCTATGCCAGTGGGCTTTAATATGAGTACAAGCACTTACCCTCTATGGTGAGCAGTTCCAGAAGGATACAGCAAAGAAAGATTTGAAAAAAAATGAGGTCAGCTGTGGTGGCTCATGCCTGTAATCCCCGCACGTTGAGAGGCCAAGGCAGGGGGACCACTTGAGCCCAGGAGTTTGAGACCAGCCTGGGCAACATAGCAAGACCCTGTCTCTACAAAATATTTAAAACTTGCCCACTGCCCTCCAGCCTGGGTGACAGAGCAAGACTCTGTCTCTAAAATAAAATAAATTATAAAAGATTTGAGAAAAGCCAACCACATTTTTAGAGCTACAGCCTCTAGTTAGTACTAGAAGTTCATGTTAGCAGTCCTAGGTTGTAATCCAAGATTTCTACATGCGATCTCTGCTTAGCCTCTTCGAGCTTCAATTTGCTCATTTTACAAAACATACATGATGATGCTTGACTTTTGGAACTTGGACAGTAGCTGTGGGAATAAACGAGATAATGTGTGTGAAAAGATATCACTAAGTGCAAAATGCTGGCCCAATTTGTATTTATGGAGCACCTGTTTTTCCTTTACGCAAAAGAGGTCATTTGAGCAGTTCCAACATTTGGCGGAAGCTTTTTCACCTCCCACTCACTGCACATGAGAGCAATCATATCCCTCGTCGTGAGCCTTGTGATGTGGTCTGTGACATACATTTGATAATGGACTTGGAAATTGAGATCCCTACGTATGTAATTATGAGATGGAGGCCCTCCAAACTCACACAACCTGGAAACGCTGCCCCGGTCAGGAAAACCCACCCTGCATGGTCATGCAACTAAACAGCCCATTGATAAAGGGTCTGTACCTTCCGCAGAGCTGCCCTGTGTATGTGAGAGGAGGAAGATGCAGAAAGGAAGAAAATGGAAGGTGAAACCAACATATAAACCATGTCTCTTTTGTGGCTTGTTTTTGCAATTGTGTGGTTATTCAAACAGTGGAGCTGTTTGAAACAGAATGAGGCACGAACGCGGGAACAGAGGGTCCCTGTATTTTCACTAGACAAAAATACAACATCCACCTGGAAAGAGAATGTCAGAACATGGAGAGGGAGGGGGAATATTCAAAATGCAAAATTGGAAGAGCCTGCCTCCTGTAGTATTTGTTTGTGACAGGTAAAGCCATTCATCATATCACCTGAACCATGGAGAATTGTGCTATTGTATTAATTACTCTCTTTAGTGACTCTCTGAGCTTTGGACTATTTAAATTCCAGGATGAGAAAGTGCTAATGGATATGGTATTGTAGATGGAGTGAATTAGTATTTCACGCTGTGCGGCTGTCTGAAAGAGTTTTAAATGGTAACCCACAGACTAGCAGCGTTCCACGCTTTTGGTGTTCATTCAGCCATTTGTTCTTCTTAGTAACAGAGCCACTCTGGGGTCATGCAAAAATTCAGACGGGAAGGAAAGGAAAGGAGATGTCAGTAGGGATACTCTGGGGAGACTAATGTGTTTTTCTGTGAGGCTATTTATGATACACTTTATTGTGTGCATTGACAAAGTCCCAATAATTCATATTTGAAAGGGAAATCATATGTCCTTTAAAAATTTCCAATCAAAGATGCTGTGAATGAAATTGTTTTCAAAAAAACATACTTTCTGCAAAAATTCCATTTGGGAACATGGCGCCGATCTCATACTGTGTCTTCACCCTTAGCCATTTTTATCTGCCTAACCTGAGTTTCCACGTGCATAAGAGGTATAAACAAATACGATGGAGCACTTCAAAGTTCTACACGACTGCTCATGCAGACCTAATCAGACAACAGAGAGGCTCTGCACACCGCACAAGGTGTCTTCTGAGAAGAGACAGAGCCAAGTTCTCCAAGAGGAAAGGGCCTAGAGGATCACTGTGTCTGGAAGAGTAAGCTCCAAGGCACGTGTTAATGTCACATATAAAACACATTTAAAGGGTCACCCTTTGACCCTGTCATGTCTCAGAATCTTAATTTCCCATTCCTTCTAATGCCTTTTTAATAATCTTATAAATCATCATGCCAATACTTTACTTGGCAATTGGAAGCCAATATTTGACAACTGGAAGTAACAGAGTGAAGATGAAGAGGTCTCCCCCACTTTCTAGGCTCTTGTACCCCACCTCCACTGTCTGCTGAGTATCTGCTTGTACATCTTCTGCAGCAGTTAAATATCTCCACTTCACATCTCTGCATTCTTACATGAATTCTGCCTTGGCCAGGCTCCCCAGAAAGCAAAGCCTGAGATAAAAGCTCATGTGCAGTATTTTATTAGGGAGCGCACTCCCAGGAAAGCGGGATTAAGGGAAAACAGGAATGAAAAGAGAGAGAAGCTAGAGCCAACACAAGGGCAGGCTACTAGTACCACCTTTGGGGGTGGAGGGTCACCCACGGCTTGATCTTGTGGGGGCTGATGTCCAAGGATCCATACAAATGACGGTGAACTTCAGACAGTGTGTCCAGGGCAGGAAGACCTTATCTGCCAGCTCCCATTTCCCACTGGTCCCATTTTTCACTTTGTGGAAAAATTGCCCCACGCTTCTGAATTGCACAAGGGTGGCCTTGAACCAGTCCCAAGGCATCTCTTATTTCAATTCTTACAAAAGTAGAAGGCGCAGGGCACGAGGTGAGAGATGTTTGGTGTGACAGCATTAGATGCCATTGAGTTCTGTCTGCGGGAAGCTGGCCAGAATCCGAGCAGAGCTGGTCCTACAGCAAGGGCCAGGCCAGAGCAAAGAGCCTTGGACCAGGAGGTGGATGAGGCTGAGAAGACCTGAAGACCTATCCGCCACACTTACCTGTGCCCTTGCGTTGTATTGACTCCCCGACCACAATTGGGCTTTATTGCTGTGAGAACAAGATGCCGTAAGAGGAAATATAAAACCAATCAGTCACAGAGTGCCCCCTTCAAAGTGGTGGCCAGCCTTAGTCTCTGAGAAAGCCTTAAGTTAAAAGGTTGAGGGAACAACCGACTGCAGCTGGTCTTGAGGTCATGCTGGATGCTGATCCTCCACTACCTGTTCTAGAGTTCGCTCATGCTCAGCCAGCACCGTGGCTTGTCCATTGCTTATCTGAAGGGCGGATCCAGACCTCTCTCCATGAGGACTGAGTGTCTTTTCTTTGTTGGGCTGCAGTTGGTGCAATTTCCCATTTCTCATCATCATCATTCAACTCAGAAGCACCAAGAGACTGCAGAGGAAATGCCCTGGATCCCAGGCACAAGCGCACTGGCCCAAGGCACAAGCACACTGGGCCAGACACAAGCGCACTGGGCCACCCTCCCAGCTCCTCAGGAGAGTCAGGACCAAGCTACCAATTTACAAAAGCTGCTGTCTTGGCCTCCGGCACTCCAACCTGAGAAACCAAGTGCTCCTATGTAAGTAAGTGTCCCATCCACTCAGCCCGGAAACCAGAACTTCTAACTTGGTGGAAACTAAGATTGCACAGACAGGAAGTGCAAATGCCATCATTTTGTTATTGGGTGATGGATGGTGAGAGGAGCCAATCCTAATTCTCTCCCCTTGGTTCCCAGATTCGTACATCCTGGCCGAGGTTTACCCTGAGCTGTGCCTTAGCTGAGTCCTTCACAGACCAGCTGTTCTGGGTGATGAGGCACACGGAATAATGAGGAAATTATGTTGCTACTGCCTGCCATTGTTGCACTTCCTTTGTCATAAAATGTGTCTGAGATGACTGTATATGGAGTAGATCAGTAGGTAGAGACCTGCAGGGGAGGAAGGGAGAGCCATATTTTGGAGAAGATGTGTGTTCCGGGAAAGACACACTGCTGCCTCCATCGGGAGGGAAGGGGTCAGGTGTAAGGGACCTGCCACTAGTGTCTGAGTGGACCCTGGGGAATGGAGCCAGGGGAGGTGTCAGCCTCGGTCTCCACTGCTGGAGGTTAGGTACTCAGCAGCAGCAGGGACTAGGTGAGCCTTGGGGAGAGGGAGCCTATGCTGCTGGGCTGAGGTTTAACTTTCACCCCTGCCACCATGGCCACTCTGTTCATGAGCCTGCTATGTCTGCCCTGGGGTTGCCCAAAGCAGAGGCTGACTGACATGCACAGAATGAGACCCCTGCCCCTGTGGGGTTTTAGAGCTGCCACTTCAATGGTGACTTCTCACTGGGCACTGCCATAAGACATGAAAGTCTACAGGCTTTGTACCCACTCACACATGTCTTCCTTGGACGAACTTGTACCTGATCTTCCAATCTTTCTCCTTCTAAGCCCCTGATGGAGCACCCGTTCATTTCTCACTGCCAACGGTCCATATATATTCATATCTCAACCCACTTCCACTTCTCTGTCAATGGAACAGGAACAGGTGAGTGTGTGGCTGGAAGTTCTATGGAGTTAGGACATTTTCCTTCATCGCCGTCTTTTGGGGCTATGCTGGAGCTGAAATGCAGCAATAACCCAATTTTGGCTAGCACCAGTATATCATGCTGACCAGTCTTTGAACCATAAACCAGTCCCAAGTCATTCGGTTGATCATAAATCACCCCAACAACCAACAGTACCGCCACCACCACTGCCACCACCACCGACACCACCATGATGCCATAATTGTGAGCTCAAGGACGGGTTTCACTACTTCCAAAGTCGATGACAGGGTAGACTGGGCCTCCTGTTCCTGTGCTTATTTATGTCTTCCAGATTGACTGAGGCCTGAGTCAAATTAGGTGCCTCCAGAATGACATCCTGAGGGTATGTTTTCAAGAGCCTGATACCAATGCTCTCAGCCTAAGTCCCTCAGGAAATGGAGCCTGGAACTTAAAAAATAATAAATAAAATATATATGTTACTACTGTATTAGAGAGTCCATTAGAAGAGAAGCAGGGTGAGGGAAAGGGTGTGACCAGAGAAAGAGAGACTTTGCAGAGGGT